>NC_000004.12:110436532-110588047 GCF_000001405.40 Homo sapiens | reverse complement strand
GGAACCCAGTTCGATGCTGTCAAGGCTGCCAGTCTCCTCCACACCTTCCCGGAGGCCTCCTCCTTTCCCTCCAAGGCCAAGTGCGCCATTTATTTTGAGAAGCCTGAGGCTTCGTCCTCGTCCTGGGGACCTTTCCGCGCACATCTCTTGCTCCTGCATCCTAGAGGGAACGGCGCTCTGACCTGGAGGAGGCACTAGCCCGACGCTGGACGCACGGAATCCTGAGAACAGGCGGGCTGGGAGCACTGGTGGGCCAGGGCTGCGGCGTCCCAGGCAGGGTCGGGCCTCGCCTTCGCTGCGTTCCCAAGCGAGGCCCTAGAGGAAGGGGCGGAGAGGGTGATCCTCTGAGGCTCCTGAGGACCGGGAAGGGTGTCCACACCCGGGAAAGGGAGGCTATTGTTTTGGCCTTTTACTATTCCACGCTTTCTCCAAAAGCCTGGTTAAAAGTCAAGGGAAGGGCCGGGTGCGGTAGGTCACGCCTGTAATCCCAGCACTTTGGGAGGCCAAGGTGGGCGGATCACGAGGTCAGGAGATCGAGACTATCCTGGCTAACAAGGTGAGACCCCATCTCTACTAAAAATACAAAAAATTAGCAGGGCGTGGTGGCGGGCGCCTGTAGTCCCAGCTACTCGGGAGTCTGAGGCAGGAGAATGGCGTGAACCCGGGAGGCGGAGGTTGCAGTGAGCCGAGATGGCGTCACTGCACTCCAGCCTGGCGACAGAGAGACACTCGTCAAAACAAACAAACAAAAAAGTCCAGGGAAGTGGTTGGTGGTAGGTAAAGTTCCTTGGTCTCTCTGATGGGGTGACTTCTATCCACCCTGAGTCACCCGTTTGTGTCCCAGCTTTCAGCAGTTTCCCCCCAGCTCCCTGGTACTGTCCGTTGTGAAAATTTGAAACGAAAAAAAATCTGCCCTTGGGTGTTCCTAAAACTTTCTGATTGTTTCTCTGGATAGTGGACAGCTGCCATGATAGGCAATCCTCACACCGTATCACGGCGTGTTGAGTTTATCCCAAGATAACAGCGTCTTTGTAGCAATAACTGATGAGGAAGAACATTTTATTTATTCATTTATTTTTAATTTCATAAGTGATGAGAAACCAAGGGTTTGGATGATAGAGTTCCGAGGAAGGAGAAACGCAGGTGTGTAAAACGAGACATTTGGCATATTCAGTGTTGGAGAAAGGTGCTCCTTTTGGAAAGATGAAGTTCAGGGAAATTCATTGTTTCTCAGGTATTTCTGTTTTCCTTAGGATATTTCTAGTTTTGATCACCCTCATTTAAGGAGACAGAAAAAGCTAAGTGAGAACTGAACTTCAGTTCATCAAATCTGTCTTCATTTAGGCTTCAGTCAATCCTTTGTTCTTTGAAAAAAAATCCTCCCCCACCACATCCTACCCCACCATGATATTATAATAGTCCAGCTAAACTACGTATAAAAAAGAATATAAATAAAATATAAGTATTAAGAACACTCAAAGCCGGGTGAAATTATTCATACTTGCAAAAGTTGATGAGCTAATTTGGCTCTGAGCTTGCTTAGAGCAAGCAGTAAAAAATAGAAGGCATTTTGGTTTCTGCAAGGCTACTTTGTAAAATCTTTGATCTGCCACTAGAGGCTGCTCTTAATTCTTAATATGTCAGGACTAATCCAGTGAGAAGTTTTTTTTCCTCACAGCCAGTAAGGAACTGGAGATTACTTTAGAAGCTGCATTTCTTTGCTGTTATTTGATGTCTTTTTCCCGCGAACCGTTCTTTTTCCCTCCCTCTCTCTCTTCCCTCCCTTCCTTCCTTCCCTCCTTCCTTCCTTCTTTCTTTCTTTCTTGGGAGAGGCAGAATGGCACTACGTCAGTTCTGTTTGATTTTGGCTTGCATCCAAATAGAAAATAAAGACACTCTTAGTTTGGGCTTACGCTTTTGTATTTCAGCACAGTACATAGGCTTACGGTGTTTTTGGTTGCCGTTACCAAATTTTCCTTTTTGCAATTTGAAAGACAGCCTGATCAACATAGTGAAACCCTGTCTCTACTAAAAATACAAAAAAAAAAAAATTATACAGGTGTGGGGGCGGTCGCCTGTAATCCCAGCTATTCGGGAGGCTGAGGCAGGAGAATTGCTTGAACCCAGGAGGCGGAGGTTGCAGTGAGCTGAGATCACACCATTGAACTCCAGCCTGGGCAACAACAGCAAAACTCCATCTCAAAAAAAAAAAAAAAAAAAAAGGAACTCATTCAGAATTCAACAGCAACCAAGGAGTGAAGCTGAGAGCAGATCTGATTTGCGTGATGCCAAAGCTCACCTTCTTTTTAATTCATCACACTATAAGTTTAGCAAGGACGGGCCAGGTGTGGTGGCTCATGCCTGTAATCCCAGCATTTTGAGAGGCCAAGGGGGGCAGATCATGGGGTCAGGATATCGAGACCATCCTGGCTAACACGGTGAAACCCCATCTCTACTAAAAATACAAAAAATTAGCTGGGCATGTTGGCACATGCCTGTAGTCCCAGCTACTCAGGAGGCTGAGGCAGGAGGATCGCTTGAACCAGGGAGGCGGATGTTGCAGTGAGCCAAGATGGTGCCACTGCACTCCAGCCCGGGCGACAGAGTGAGACTCTGTCTCAAAAAAAAAAAAAAAAAAAAAAAAGAAGTTTAGCAAGGACAAAAGTATTATTAAGGAATCATCCATACATTTGATAGTTATTGAATTTTATTTTTATTAGCTAAAGTCTATACTTCATTCAGATTACCTTGGGTTTTATCTAATATCCTTTTTCTGTTCGAGGATCCCAACTACGACACCACATTACATTTAGTTGTTTTAGGGCTCCCTGGGTTCCTCTTGGTTGAAACAGTTTCTCACACTTTCACTTTTTTTTTTTTAATCTTGACAGTTTTGAGTAGTGGTCAGACATTTTGTAGAATGTTTCTCAATTGTGATTTGTCTGATATTTTTCTCATGATTAGTCTAGGGTTATGGGTTTGTGGAGGATGGCCACAGAAGTAAAGTGCCATCTTCATTATATCATATCAAGGGTACACGTCAATATGATTTGTCACTGTTAATGTTGATCTGGAACACCTGGCTGTGGTATTGTTTCTCAAGTTCTCCACTTTACTGTCATTTTGTGTAGAGATTACATGTCCCTTTTTTGTCCAGGCTGGTCTCGAACTCCTGAGCTCAGGTGATCCTCCCTCATTGGCCTCCCAGAGTGCTGGGATTATAGGCACGAACCACTGCACCTGGCCCAGATATCTTCCCCCCGCCACTCCCTTTTTTTATTGTATTTTTTGGGAGGAAGTCACTCTGCGCAGTCTGCTTTTATTTATTTATTTATTTATTTATTTATTTTATTTTATTTTTATTTTTTTGAGACGGAGTCTTGCTCTGTCGCCCAGGCTGGAGTGCAGTGGCACAATCTCGGCTCACTGCAAGCTCCGCCTCCCGGGTTCACGCCATTCTCCTGCCTCAGCCTCCCGAGTAGCTGGGACTACAGGTGCCTGCCACCACGCCCGGCTAATTTTTTGTATTTTTAGTAGAGACGGGGTTTCACCGTGTTAGTCAGGATGGTCGCGATCTCCTGACCTCGTGATCCGCCCGCCTCGGCCTCCCAAAGTGCTGGGATTACAGGCGTGAGCCACCGCGCCGGCCCACAGTCTGCTTTTAAGGAAGGGATAGCTATGCCTTACTTCCTTGAGGCAGAAGCAACTACATCACTTATTTGGACTTCTGCATAGGAGATTGTGTCTCCCATTTATTGATTTATACATTTATTTATATCACTATGGACTCATGGATATTTATTTTATAATTTGGGTTACAATTCAATACTATGTTATTTATTTTCTTGCCCCAGTTGGTCCAGCTTTGGCCACTGGGAGCTCTTTCAGTTGGCTTCTGTGTCCCTCTGACATACTCCAATCATGAAGTTCTTTTATTTTGCTTTGTTTGGTTTTTGAGCACTTCCTTGCTTTCTGATGCTATAAGATGCTACTGGCTCATCTTGTATATTTCCTGCCCCAGTCCTAGAATGAGCCATTTCTCCAAGGAGCCCTGGTTTCTTTTATGGGAGAATGGTGCTAAATGTGCTCCATACTACTGTGTCATTGCTTCTAGTGTTCGTCAACTGACAGAGCAAGGAAAAACATGTGTATATACTGACCCCTATATATACACATAGCTATAAATATCTCTATATGTGACCATTTGTCTCTACATTAAGCTAAGCATGAGTTAATACTGATGCCTTAAACTCTAATCCATTACCACATGGCTCATTCTAGCCTCCTTCCCTTGCTTGTCTGTAACCTCTCACTCCGGTAGTGTGAAACCTGGGTCCTGCCATCTTCTATTTGTGTAATTGTTCAATTCCACCATATATGTAGGGCAGATCAGAATTGTTAATCAATATTCCCATGGACAATAACAGTCAACTAAAGTACAGTGCTTATGTATAGTTTCTTTTGCACTCAATCTTGCAAATTTCATTCATTTTCATAGTTACAGAGGTCAGCACTTTTCCCCCGACCCCTTTAAATGAGGTTGTAAATGTACTTGTAATACAGTTAGTTTTGGTTACTTTTTGTATTTGATCTGGGACCCCCCCCCTAAAGCCCCTAAATGACTTTTTTTATTTGCACATATTAAGGTTTATTCCTGTGCTGTATATTCTCTAGGTTTTGACAAATGCTTAATGCCATGTATCCACCATCACAATATCATCCAGTAGTTTCATTGCCCTGAAATATCCCCTGTGCTTCACCTATTTACCTCTCCCCCAGCCTCAAGCCCCTGGCAGCCACTGATCTTTTTACCATCTCTATGGTTTTGCTTTCCAGAATTGTATATAGTTGGAATCATACAGCACATACCCTTTCAAACTGGCTTCTTTCACTTAGTAATAGTCTCTGAAGATTCATTCATGCCTTTTTATAAGTTGATAGCTCCTTTTATTGATGAATAATATTCCATTTTGTAGATTTATCATAGTTTGTTTTTCCATTCACTTATTGAAGGGCATTTTTGTTGCTTTCAGCTTTTGGCTATTATGCATAAATCTGCTATAGACATTCATATGCAGGTTTTTTTGTGGACATAAACTTTCAAATAAGCTAGGTAAATGGCTAGGAGTGCAATTGCTGGATCATATGGTAAGATTATGTTTAGCTTTGTTAGAAACATTGTCATCCAAAAAGTACCATTTTGTGTTCCCAGCACCAATGAGTAAGTTCCTGGCCAGGCGTGGTGGTTCATGCCTGTAATCCCAGCACTTTGGGAGGCCAAGGAGGGCAGATCACGAGGTCAGGAGTTTGAGACCAGCCTGGCCAATATGGCGAAACCTCATCTCTACTAAAAATACAAAAATTAGCCGGGCGTGGTGGCACACACTCGAAGTCCCAGCTACTCGGGAGGCTGAGACAGGAGAATTGCTTGAACCTGGGAGGCGGAGGTTGCAGTGAGCCGAGATTGCGTCATTGCACTTTGGCCTGGGTGACAGAGCAAGACTCTGTCTCAAAAAAAAAAAAAAAGTTTCTTCCTACTGCTCCACATCAATTGGTATTGCTAGTTTTTAAATTTTAGCCATTTAATAGGTTTGTAGTGATATGTCACTTTTCAATTTCCTAATGACAAATGATGGTGAGTATATTTTCATATGTTAATTTACCATCTACATATTTTAATCAGTAAACTGTCTTTCAGATCTTCATTGGTAAACAGTTTGTTCAGGCTTTTTTTTACTTTAATACATCAAAAGTTTACTTCTTATTTTTATTTATTTATTTTGAGACAGGGTCTCACTCTGTTGCTCAGGCTGGAGTACAGTTGTGCAATTAGGGCTTACTGCAGCCTCGACCTCCTGGGCTCAAGTGATACTCCCACCTCAGGCTGCCCTTGTCTCCCCACCCCCAGTAGCCGGGACTACAGGTATACACCACCACGCCCAGCTAATTTAAAAAAACGATTTTTTTTGTAGAGATGGGGTATCTCTGTGTTGCCCAGGCTAGTATGGAACTCCTGGGCTCAAGTGATTCTCCCGCTCAGCCTCCCAAACTGCTGGGAAAATGTTTACTTCTTACTCATGTTAAATGTCCATTGAGGTATGGTTGAGGGCTCTTTTTCACACATAACTGTTCTTCTCAAACTAGGCTGATGCAGCCACTATTTAGAACTTCGACAGTTGCTGTGCCAAAAGGAAAACAGAATATATTGAAGTTCTGTTTGCTCTGGAAGCTTTTGCTTAAGAAAGGCACATGATACTTACCCCTACATTTCAGTGATCAAACCAAGTACAGTGACCATGTCTGATTATTGCTTTGGGGAAATGCAATTCTACCATGGGCCCCAAAAAAGAGAAAACTTGTAAACAATCAAAAATTCATGAACAATCCTAGTGAATACTAGATACAGAACACAGATATAGATATAGCGGTAGATGAAAATGTATTCATATTTTTTCATTGTGATAAAATATACACATCTTTTGCCTATTTAAAAATTGGACTTCCTGCACTTTGGGAGGCCGAGGCGGGCAGATCACGAGGTCAGGAATTCGAGAGCAGCGTGGCCAAAACAGTGAAACCCCATCTCTGCTAAAAAAGACAAAAATTAGCCGGGCATGGTGGCAGGTGCCTGTAATCCCAGCTACTAGGGAGGCTGACACAGGAGAATCGCTTGAAACTGGAGGTGGAGGTTGCAGTGAGCCGAGATTGTGCCACTGCACTCCAGCCTGGGCGACAGAGCTAGACTCCATCTAAAAAAAAAAAAAAAAATTGGACATATTTTTTCTCCTTTCTGGATCTTAAGAATGCTTTGTGGCCAGGTGAGGTGGCTCACCTGTAATCCCAGCACTTTGGGAGGCAGAGGCAGGTGGATCACGAGGTCAGGAGATTGAGACCATCCTGGCTAACATGGTGAAATCCCGTCTCTACTAAAAATACAAAAAAAAAAAAATTAGCTGGGCATGGTGTCAGGAGCCTGTAGTCCCAGCTACTCAGGAGGCTGAGGCAGGAGAATGGCGTGAACTCGGGACGCAGAGCTTGCATTGAGCCGAGATCGTGCCACTGCACTTCAGCCTGGGCGACAGAGCGAGACTCCATCTCAAAAAACAAACAGACAAACAAAAAAGGAATGCTTTGTGTGTTTTTTATACAAGACCTTTATCAGATATGTGTCTTACAAATATTTTCTGAACAGTATCTTTCACAGAGCAGAAGTTTTTAATTTTAGTAAGTTCAACTTACCAGTTTTTTTATGGATTGTGCTTTTGGTGTTGTATATAAAAATTATCACCAAACCTAAGACTTTCTATATTTTCTTCTAGAAGTTTTATAGCTTTGCATTTTACATTTTGGCCTATGATCTATTTTGAGTTAATTTTTGTGAAGGCTTACATCAGTGTCTGCATTCAGTTTTTTTGCATGTGATGTCCAATTGTTCCCACACCATTTGCTACAAAGATGACATTCTCTCCATTTGAATTGCCTTTGCTCCTTTGTCAAATATCAGTTGATTATCTTTGTAGCTTGTTTCTGGGCTCTCTACTGTGTGTGTGTGTGTGTGTTGTGTGTGTTTTAATCTATGCTTCTTCTTTCACCAATACCATGCTGTTTTGATGACTGTATTTTTATAGTAATTTTTAAAGTCAGAACATTTGAGACTTCCAACGTTTTTCTTCTACTTCACTATTGTGTTGGCTATTCTAGGTATTTTACCTTACATGTAATATTTGCATTAGTTTATCAATAGCTACTACAAGCCTTGCTGGGATTTTGATTGGGATTATGTTAAATCTATAGATCAGTTTAGGAAGAACTGACATCTTAAGCATGTTGAATCTTCCAATCCATGAACGTGGAATCTCTCTTCATTTATTTAGATTTTTTAAAATTTCTTTCACAAGAGTTTTGCAGTTTCAGTTATAGAATTTTTATTGTGTGCCAGGTATGATGTAGATACAAGGATTACAAAGGTGTAACTGAGAAGAGTGCTGCCCTCAAGAAGCTGACAATTTAATAAGTGGAGATGGATAGTGGTAATGACATATGATAAGTGTTACAGGTTTGTGGGAAGAAAAGGTTGGAGTAGATAGTTCTATAGGAAGAGAAAGAAGGCACCATCATAGAAATGACATAAGTATTTGCTAAATGATAACATTTGTAGGAGGCCCTCTGGGCAGGAACAGTATTTGGTAGATTCACTTTTGGAACTTAGGGTTCAATGGCTTGGCAGTGAGGACTGAGGCTGAAGGGGTGCAGATCCCAGTAGATTGAGAGTGTCAAGTTGAGTGCTTTGAAGTCTATTCTTAAGATAGGGTGAAAGGAAGGGACTGTGCGAGCTGGCGAATGGCATGCCAAGATTTTCATTAAGAAAGACTACTTTGCTAGTAGTATAGCAGGGTAGAGAAAGGTTATTGTAATAGGTTACATGAGAATTGGTAAGAACCAAGGTAGTGAATGTGGGGATAGAAAAAAAGACTTATATTTGAGAGATATTTCAGAAGTTAAATTGATAGAGGGATAGGATTTAGTGACTAATTAATTGGATATAGGATAAGTGTGATTCAGAAGTTTCTGGAAAAGTGGTTATGCCACTGGCCAGAATCAGAAATACAGGAAGATTAGATTAGTGGGGGTTGTGGACAACAAGTTTCATTTTGGACTAAAACTTGACAAAGTTTGGGGTGCTTGGGGGTTGTCCAGTGAAAGGTTTTCATTTAGCTTTTGGAAGTACAGGTCTCTTTAGGGCTACCTCCTCAGAGAGGCCTTCCTGACAACCCTATCTAAAATAGCATTCATCCCTCTATCCCCTGAATTTTGCCTTTTATTTTCGGTATAATATAGCTCATCGCGATCTGACATTATATATTTATTAGATTTTTACCTCTCCCCCATTATGTCCATGTGAACATTGTCTATTTTACCTACTGTGTGGAATAATGTGTAACTCATATAAACACTCAATAAATATGTATCAGGTTAATAAATGAATATATATGTCTAGGTAAGGTATAGGCAAGATATTGGCCTTCAAATACAAGTTTTAGAGGCATCCCTATACAGATGCCAGTTAAAAAACATGCAGCCATGGAGCCCTAGGGAATAGCATGTGGTATAAAAACAGAGGGAGCACAGTAGCCATATGCAGAAGATTGAAGCTGCACCCCTTCCTTACAATGTATACAAAAATCAACTCAAGATGGATTAAAGACTTACAGGTAAAACCCAAAACTATAAAATCCCTGGAAGACAACCTAGGCAATATCATCCTGGACATAGGAACGGGCAAAGATTTCATGACAAAGACATCAAAAGCAATCACAACAAAAGCAAAAATTGACAAATGGGATCTAATTAAACTTAAGAGCTTCTGCACAGCAAAAGAAACTATCAACAGAGTAGACAGACAACTTACAGAATGGGAGAAACTTTTGGCAAACTATGCATCTGACGAAGGTCAAATGTCCAGCATCTATAAGGAACTTAAACAAATTTACAAGAGAAAAACAAACAACCCCATTAAAAAGTGGGCAAAGGACATGAACACACATTTCTCAAGAGAAGACATAGATGAGGCCAACAGGCGTATGAAAAAAAGCTTAATATCACTGATCATTAGAGAAACGCAAACCAAAACCACAATGAGATACTCTCTCACACCAGTCAGAATGGCTATTATTAAAAAGTCAAAAAATAACAGATGATGGTGAGGTTTTGGATAAAAGGGAACACTTATAAACTGTTGCTGGGAGTGTAAATTAGTTCAACCATCATGGAAAGCGGTATGCTGATTCCTCAAAGAGTTAAAAGCAGAACTAACATTTGGCCCAGCAATCCCATTACTGGGTATATACCCAAAGGAATATAAATCATTCTACCATAAAGACACATGCACTCATAAGTTCATTGCAGCACTGTTCACAATAGCAAAGACATGGAATCAACCTAAATGCTCATCAGTGACAGACTGGATAAAGAAAATGTGGTTCATATACATCATGGAATATTATGCACCCATAAAAAAGAACGAGATCATGTCTTTTGCAGTAACACAGATGGAGCTGGAGGCTATCATCCTTAGCCAACTAACACAGGAACAGAAAACCAAATACCACATGTTATCACTTATAAGTGTGAGCTAAATAAGAACTTATGAGCACAAAGATGGAAACAACAGATACTGAGGTCTATTTGATGGGAGGGACAAGGGAGAGGAGCAGAAAAGGTAACTATTGGGTACTAAGCTTAATACCTGGTGATGTATTAATATGTACAACAAACCCTCATGAAACGTGTTTATGTAACAAACCTTCGCGTGTACCCCCAAAACCTAAAATAAATTTTTTAAAGGAGAAACTAAAAAAAAAAAGTGCAGAATCATAGAAAGCATTAATTTTTAAGCAGCAGGTGGAGGAAAGTAATCTAGAAAAAGAGAATGAGAAAGAGTGGTCCAAGATGTACAAAAAGAAGTCCTAAGGATTCTAGGGGAGTAAAATTTCAAGGAGGGTGTTAAGAGTTGAATTGTGTACCCCAGAATTCAAGTACTGAAGTTGTAACCCTCAATATCTCAGGATGTGACCTTAGTTGGAGGTGTGGTCTTTATAGGTGCAGTCAAGTTAAAGTGAGATCATTAGGGTGGTCTCTAATTCAGTATGACTGATATCCTTAGACAAAGGGAAAATGTGGCTACAGAGATGCACATACAGAGAGAATGCCATGTGAACATGAAGATGGCCATCTACAAGCAAGAAGACAGGCCTGGAACAGATCTTTCCCTCACAGTCCTCAGAAGGAACCAACCCTCCCCACACTTTGATTTTGGACTTCAAGTCTCCAGAACTGTGAGACAATACATTTCTCTTGTTTAAGCCACTTGGTTGTGATACTTTATTATGGCAGCCCTAACAAACTAATAAGAGGGAGTGGTCAGTCATCGTGCTTATTTTATTTTACTTTTTTTGAGAGAAGGTCTTGCTCTGTCAACCAGGCTGGAGTGCAGTGGTGTGATCTTGGCTCACTGCAGCCTTGACCTCCTGGACTCAAGCAATCCTCTCGTCTCAGCCTCCCAAGTAGCTGGAACCACAGGCACGCACCACCATACCTGGCTATTTTTTAAAATTTTTGCAGAGATAACATCTTGCTATGTTGCCCAGGCTGTTCTCAAATTCCTGGGCTCAGGCAGTCCTCCCACCTTGGCCTCCCAAAGTGCTAGGATTACAGACATGAGCCACTATGTCTGGCCCATCTTACTAATGATTGTTCTTGTTAGATAAGAAATGAAAAAAAAAAAAACCTATTGAGTTAGTGATTAATAGGTCAGTGATAGTTTAGCAAGAACAATTTCAGATGGAGAAATCCTATTTTGGTGGATCAAGGAGTGCATAGTAGCACACCAAATACAAACCATTCATACGTTTTACTTTAAATAAACTTGACACATGGAAGGGAAGGTGGTTTGTTGAGGCTCTCATCACTTCAGACTTCCTACTTAATTGTATTGATTCTCTGGCTACTTCTGTCCATCTTGTTTTTTTTTTTTAAATTAAATTAGTCTTTCTCCTTTTATTTTTTTTAATGTAGGTTCTTACTCTGTCGCCCAGGCTGGAGGAGTACAGTGGTATGATCATGGCTCACTGCAACATCTACTTCCTGGGCTCAAGTGATCCTCCTGCCTCGGCCTCACGAGTACCTGGGACTACAGGCATGCATCACCATGTCTGGCCAACTTTAAAAAATTTTTTTTGTAGAGACAGGGTATTGCTATGCTGCCCAGGCTTGTCTCAAACTCTTGGCCTCAAGTGATCCTCCTGCGTCAGCCTCCCAAAGTGCTGGAATTACAGGTGTGAGCCACTGTGACTTGCTTATTCCTTCTAATTTTTTATTTTCAGCATTTTATTTCTCTGTTCCAAAATTTTTAGTGGTTCTTTGATTGCCTGTAGGATAAAGGCCTTGGGTTAGTTTTCAAGACTTCACATATTCTGGGCCCTACTATGCCAATTCAGATTTTCCTTTCTGCATTGGGATCCTAGTCCCTCACTCTCTCTTACATATATCAAAGTTATGAAAAACTCCAGCCTCCTTTTCTTTTTTTGTGTTCCCCTCTAGCTCTATGTTACTATCCTTCAAGGTAAAGTTTAAGCTCTATCTCCGTTAGGACTTTGTCTCTTCTAACTAGTAATTAAGACCATCTTCTGTTATTAAAATGTCAGTTAAAAGCTAACAATTTAGTTTTATTTACAAATATACATTTAAAGATGTACCTACAGAGGCAAATAGTGGAAAATTGGGACTATTTCTGAATAATAGTAGTCAAGCAATCCTGCCTTTATCTAAAAATCCTACATAGGCCATTAGTTAACTGAAATCGCTAAGCAAGTAAAGCTTTGTGCCACTCTAGAAGGAACTCCATATTGATATTGGGTTTCAGTGCATCCATAAATTATATGCCTCCTTTTCCTCCAGCTGAATTTTCAGCCCACCAAGAGATAAATAAGGAGTTATTACAGACTAAAACTAGATTGGAAGACATACCTTAGGTGTATGGTAATAACAATGAACCCAAAGAATTAGGTAGACTCACCACTCTGTCACAGCCACTCTGGGAAACTGCATCCTCACTTCCCCTATCCTATAGGGAGCCTTTATTGCTAAGTTTGCTTCATTGCTGAAAGCATATTAGAACACATGTTTCTTTGAACAGGTAGAAGATCCCTGAAAGAAAAAATAAAGGGTAGGTTGACCCATTTGTGCCTGATTCCTGCTGCTAAACAGGAGGGAGTAAGTGAGAGAGGAGCAGAGAAAGGCCAGTACTTTTGCTCTGTTTAAAGGTGCCTCCCCTTTAAAGGACACATTAGGAGTTAGCAATAAGTTCACACCTAACAGTCAGGAAAGATTTCTTCCTGAGAAGTTTCCTAGGGACTCATAGCACTTGGATCAGTATTCTGAAAAACTTCAAGAAAGAATCCTTCCCCTCCACTCTCTCTAAAATAGCCCAAAGATTAACCTAACTCTTTAGTTTACTTTGTGGATACCTATACGTTTGAATTAATAGTTATAATTTCTAGTTTTTGGTTTGAAAAAGACTGGCAGTTAACAAAACAAGGCACAACTAAAATTATGTCCCTATGTGTGAGGTACCACTTGAAATCAAAGCATCCGCATCAGATCTTGTCACACTTAAATCTTACTCCTTATTGCCTCAAAATAAAGAACCTTTTCCTCTCAATGCCAACATAAAAAAATAAAATAATCCATGTGAGAAAATTTAAACATGACAGTCAGAACCAGGATTTAAAGTGGATTCCTGGGCACAATTACTTGAAGTATGAATTTGGTGAATGACAAAGATCAGATCTCAATTGAAACCCGGGACTCTTCGCTTCATAAATCAAGCCCACCTGCTCTAAATGTTATAGATCTCATGTTGCTCTGTTCTACTCTCATTTTGTGACTGCACGTTTGACTTAAGGGTTTAAGCTAAATTTTGAAACTTTATATATAGTCATTGATTAACCTTAGCTGGATCTACAGCATAGTTGATCACTTTATATTTAAAAGGAAGAAAAAAAAGCACAGCCCTTTGCTTGCCCCAAATTATGGATCTCTTAGTTTACCAGGCATTCAAGTTTTTTATTGAGACATAATATGTTACATATTTACGGGGTACATGTGATACTTTGTTACATGCATAGAATGTGTAATGATCAAGTCAGAGGATTTGGGGTGTCCATCATCTTGAATATTTATCATTTATCATGTGTTGGAACATTTCAAGTTCTCTCTTTTAGCTATTTTGAAATACGCACTACATTGTTGCTAACTATAGTCACCCCACTCTGCTACTGAACATTAGAACTTATACCTTCTATATATCTGTATGTTTGTACCCATTGACCAACCTCTTTTCATCCCTCCCCTACTCTGCTCTCACCCACATACCCTTCCCAGTCTCTGGTATCTGTCATTCTACTCTCTACCTCAATGAGTGAGCACAGGTGAAATTTATATTTCTGTACCTGGCTTATTTCTCTGCTTAACATAATGACCTCCAGTTCCATCCATGTTGTTTCCAATAAAAGGATCCATTCTTTTTTATGGTTAAATAGTACTCCATTGTGTATATATACCACATTTTTCTATCCATTCATCTACTGATGGACACTTAGGTTGATTCCATATCTTTGCTATTGTGAATAGTGCTGCAATAAATATACAAGTGCAGGTATCCCTTTGATATACTGATTTCTTTTCCTTTGAATAACTGCCCAGTGGTGGGATTGCTGGATCATATGGTAGTTCTATTTTTAGTTTTTTGAGAAATCTCCATACTGTTTTCCATAGTGGCTGTACTAATTTACATTCCTATCAACAGTGTATAAGAGTTCCCTTTTCTCCACATCCTCACCAGCATCTGTTATCTTTTGGCTTTTTAATTATAGACACTCTGAGATAAGATGATATCTCACTTTGGTTTTTGATTTTCATTTCCCTGATGACTCATGATGTTGAGCATTTTTTCATATACTTATTGACCATTTGTATGTTTTCTTTTGAGAAATGTCTCTTCATGCCCTTTGCCCACTTTTTAATGGGATTATTTAGCTTTTTACTATTGGAGTTGCTTGTATATTCTGGATATTCATCCCCTGTTGGATGAATAGTTTGCAAAGATTTTCTTCCATTCACAGGTTGTCTCTTTACCTTGTTGTTCATTTATGAAGGATAACTTTGCTGAGTATTGTATACTTAGCTGGAAGTTTTTTTTTTTCAGCATTTTGAATATGTCATTCTCTCCTGGCCTGTAAGGTTTCTGCTGAGAAATCCTCCATTAGTCTGATGGGGGTTCTTTTATAAGTGACTGGATGCTTTTCTTTTGCTGTTTTTAGAATTTTCCCTTTGCCTATAACTTTTGGCAGTTGCACTATAATGTCCCACAGAGAAAATCTTTTTGAATTGTGTCTATTTGAGGATCTTTGAGCCTCATGTATCTGGATGTCTAAATCTCCTGCTAAACCTGAAGAGTTTCCATCTATTATTTTGTTAAATGGGGTTTTTAACGCTTTTGTTTTCTTTTTGCCTTCTGGGGCTCTGAAAACTCAAGTATTTGGTCACTTTATGGTGTCCCATATGTCACTTAGGCTTTGCTCATTTTCTTCCTCTTCTTCTTTCTTTCTTTTTGTCTGATTAGATTATTTCAAAAGACCTGCCCCCAGTTTGTGAGATTCTTTCTTCCTCTTGATCTAGTCTATTGTCAAAGCTCTGGAATGTATTTTGTATTTCATTCCATGAATTCTTCAGTTTCATAATTTCTGTTAGGTTCATTTTTATGATATATCTCTCTTTGGTAAATCTCTCATTCATATCCTGAATTGTTTTTCAATATTCCCGCGTATCTCACTGAGATTTTTTGCTGAGATCTGTTCCTAGCTAATTATTTTTGGGGTGTGTCTTATTTTTTTGCTTTTTCATGTTCACTGTGTCCATACTTTAATATTTGTGCATTTGATGTAACAGTCACTTATTCCAATTATTTGAATTTGCTTTCCCAGGGAAGGACTTTTTTTTGAAGATGGATCTATGGCGTTGGTCGGGTAGGGTACTTTGGCTTTGGTTCTGAGTACATGCAGTAATGTAGTCTCTATATGATTTCTTTGGCTATAAACAGTTTCAATAGTGTCTGTGATTTTCTCAGTGGCTTAGGGTGCAGTTATTAGTGGAGGCAAGTTCTGTTGGGGAGTGGTATGTCAGGTAGGCCAATCTTTAGGTCCCAGTGGTGGCAGCAATGGGCTGAACATGTCTGTCTTTGGGTTTCAGGGTGGTGTATACTGGCACTGGTGTCAGTGGGCCCTGGCAGGCCAATTATTGGGCCTCCAAATGGCTTGCTCAGACACCAGGAATGGCAGCAGTGGGCCAGGCAGGTGGGTAGGCTCTTGAGCCCCTGGGCAGTGGGCATGGTGTGGGTGATATCAGTAGCAGTGGTGAGGCAACCCTCTTGGGCCGAAGAGGTCTGCTCTGTTGTTGGTGGTGGCTGTGACAGGCTGGGCATATCAGTCCCCAGGCCCACAAGTGGCACATGTGGGTGGGTGCCAGATGTGTTGATAGCAGCAGGTTGAGAAAGCCCAAACTCAGACCCTGGGAGCAGTGCTCAGGTGTCAAAAGCAGTGGACTAGGCTGAGCAATCCCCAGGCCCTTGGATGGTGTGCTCAGGTACGAAGGTAGGGGATTGATCCAGGCTGGGAAGTACTGCCTTCAGGCCCCTGTAGTATGTGCAGGTGATGGCTCTTGTAGGCAGGGGGAGGGTAATCTTCAGGCCTCTGGCTGAATGCTCACGTGGAGGCAACAGTGGCTGTACTGTGGCCCTGTTAATGGGGAGGGCAGAGTGGCAATAAGAGGGAGCAGCAATAGGCAGGTGGCTTGGGATGGGGTTGGGGGATATCACAGTGATGGCAGCTGCAGACAGTGGAATTTGTCCTCAGAACACATGAACATGCATAACCACTCTTTTGCTGGGGTGGCCAGGGTTGCTGATTGTGGCTACTGCCTCAGCCCAGGTGGTAGCCACTGTGAGCTGGCAGTGTCAATGGGGCTCCAGAGATGTGGAGATTCACAGGCTATTGAGCACCAGGACAGGATGCATTCTACTGGGGGCTGGGCTCTCAAAATGGTACCGTGCTGCAGCTGCTTAAGACTCAGTGGTTTGTGGGACCCAGCATGAGCTCTCTGTCTGGAGCAATGCCCTTTTACAGTCTGCAGGCAGCTCCCTGTGTTATTCTCAAAGCCCTCAAGAGTCAAGGGACTCTCCTGTGCCTAGAATTATAGGGAATTGTAGTGCTGTGGGTCTTTCATTTTCCCTTTCCCCACATTAAGGATCCTCTTCAGCCTCCCAGCTGATCCCAAATGAACAGCCTGCCTTGTTTCCCCCTCCTTACTTGCTTTAGGTGCTTCCCATCACTTCTCTGTTGAATTCCAGTGTTCTCTCTTAGATGATCTATTGGAAGTGTGACTCTCTACTCATTTTGATTCTTCTCCATTAAGGAAGCCCCTCCTCAGTTTACCAGGCATTGTGTCTAAATTTTTATAACTTTATTCCTAATAAACTTCAAGTTTGAACTTTTCTGAAAAATTAGAGAGCATGTAGTCTCTTCACAATCATGTTGTGCATAAATCTCTCGCTAAAAGCATACATTCATTTGAGCTTTTATAGATCCTTAGACTTAGGCCTTTAACTCTTTGGATAAGAACCAGTTCTATCACTCAGGCATAATCATTGTTATAATTTTGACATAGATATTTTCAATTATAATACATGTTCAATTTATCTTGAAGTGTTAATTGCAAACATGTATTGATTAAAGTTATAGATTTTATGTTACTTTATCAAGAGTTGTTTTATTATTATTTTTCTCCAAGGGGAGATGGCTGAGGAGGAAGCTCGGCAATATTTTCTTAAAACATTTTATAGACTAAAACAACTGGAGCCATGTTCTGCATCCTGTAATTTTGGGGAACTTAATAATTTTGCCTCTGTGTTAGAGTATATGCATGCAAAATTATTGATGTAAGAAAACCTTATCTTTGCACAATGGTTCTATTTTTGGAGTGGATTTTATTGAGATAGCTACCTCTCAACTTTCATAAGAATATGTCAACATTTCCTCAGTTCATCTGACTGTGAAAGTAGCAATAGAGAACATGTATACTCAAACTCACTTGTTTTCATGAAACTTACCAAAATTCAACTGAGTATTTTAGAGAGATTTTCTGAAGAATACAGATCATTTAATTTGTCAGATATTCTAAAATATAACTTTAGACTTAGCCAGTTATCAGTTAAGTCTGTACTTAGACATTATTATTTTGGCTTTCTGTAGAATTGCCTTGAGAACTGACTACTGAATTTAGAAAGGTGACTTCAGCAAGCACAGTGTTAGTGGAAGAGTGGAGATGAAAGTGTGAGTAGAATGGGCACAAGAGCGAAATTTTAGATGATCAGAAACAACTATTGAGACTAAATTTTTTGAGAGAGAGCCTTGCTCTGTTGACCAGGCTGGAGCGCAGTGGCGCAATCTCGGCTCACTGCAATCTCCGCCTCCCGGGTTCAAGCGATTCTCCTGCCTCAGCCTCCTGAGTAACTGGGATTACAGGCACATGCCACCAGGCCCGGCTAATTTTTGTATTTTTAGTAGAGACGAGGTTTCACCATGTTGGTCAGGCTGGTGTCGAACTCCTGACTTCGTGATCCGCCTACCTCGGCCTCCCAAAGTGCTGGGATTACAGGCGTGAGCCACCGCGTCCAGCCAGATTATGTTCTTTTAATTAGACAAGTATGTGCATTCCAGAAAAGGCTGAGGATTCAAGAATATAGAATAAGCCTTTGCAGTTGACAGCCTTTTTCCTTCTTGTAGAAAAGTAACACAATATAAACTTTTTAAAAATTTGTGCTCGTCATAAAAATTAAAATTTTCCCTAGGCATTTAAAAATACATAATTTAATATGACACATGATTAAGTTAACAAACTAATATCTTTTAAGCCATTTGTTTTATCCTGCTTCATTTTGTTTTTATTTTTTCCTTATGTAGTTTAGCTGCTTTCCCCAGTGCTAGTCTCAGTTTATGGGTGAAAGGGGACAGTTTTTATTTGTATGAAACTGAGAGGCTCCATTTAAACCAGCTTACACATTGATATTTATAGGCTCATTTATTTCAAAGATCTAAGGGATGTCTATATACGGGTAGCTATTAAATACATTTAGGGTCCCAAATAATGTCAGGTTCTCTGTATCCTTCCTCTCTTAACTCAGCTTTTTTCTGCTTAGTTTCTCTCCATGTAGCAGTAAAATGACCAGCAACAGCTCCAGGAATCTCCTAGATTAGTAATCCAAGCAGAAAGAGAAACTTTGCTGCCCTAATAGTTATGTACCATAACCCTGAATAAATACATTAATTTACTCTGCTCAGATCAAGTGAATACTCCTGAATTTACTACTGCAATTGGAGGATGGGATATTATGGTGAGAGGTAGGGGAAAATGAAGCTCTGTGATTTTCAGTTCTACCAAGATCACATGGAGTCCTGATGATGAAGAATCCAATATAAGAATGGGTTTTATCTTTGAATAAAAATATAAAGATTTTTCAGAATTAATGATGCAAATTCTTAAATCTGAAAGAAGTAATTTGAAGGAGACAAACTTCATTAGCACCTTGACAAAAGGAAAATTATCACTATCTGTTGCAGGGACTATAAGACTTCTTCCTCAGCCAGTGCCACTCTGTGATTTATTTTAGTGAAGTGCTCAGGAGGAAAAATAAGTCTTTAAGCAGTAGTTTTATTGAGAGATAAATATAGTATATTCATATACTGTAAAATTTACCCTGTTTAAGTATACAGTTCAGTGGGTTTTGGTATATTTACAGAATTGTGCAACCATCGCCATTATCTAATTTTAGAACATTTTTATCACCTCAAAAAAAAGCTTTAGCAGTCTCTCCCCATATTCCAAACCCCTGACACCCACCAGTCTACTTTCTGTCACTATAGATTTGGCTATTCAGGACATTTCATATGAATAGAATCATATAATATGTGGCCTTTTGTGAATAGCTTCTTTCATTTAGCATATTTTCAAGGTTCACCCCTGTTAAAGTATGTGTCACTATGTTCTTCTTTATGGCTGAATAATATTCCATTTTGTGGCTGTACCCTCTTTGGTTTATCCATTCACCCATTGATGGACATTTCAATTATTTTCATTTCTGCTTTTTGGTTATTTGAATAATCCTTTTGTAAACATTTATGTATTTGTTTTTGTGTGGACATAGGCTTTGCTTTTCCTGGATACATTCTGAGGAGTGGAATTGCTATATCATTTGGTAACTCTACATTTAACATTTGAGGAACTAGGGAAATCAGTCTTGATGGTTTTATCAATGGTGCATTCGAATAGGTCTGTGTGTCCTAACAGAAAAGAAAAACACATTGCTCCAGCTCTTTTCCCTTTACCACAGGAAATAATCTGTTCCAAATGCTACATGTAATCATTTATCTAATACTCCCAAAATTATCAAGGCTGAAGTAGACTCTCTGAGAGTCAGTCCATTCCATCAGTCTGTGCCAAGCAAAAGACCCTGCTTGCAGTTTTTTATATGCTAAAGACAATGGGCAGGAAAGAAACACAGAGTTAAATGAAAATATAAACCAAAATAAAATCTGCAGTTCCATTTTTTATAATTCAGGTGCCAGTTCAGGAACTTCTCAAGGTATTCCAAGCAGAAATGGATTATTTCGGGAGATTAGGCAATTTCATGCCATTAAAAGGCCTTGAGGGATAGAAATTAGAGGGTACATGCCAGCCTTTTGGTTTAAAGGTGGCATATCTCCACCTTTCTGATCCAGACGTTAAAAACTGCTAAGATCACCCAGAAATGAGGACATTATGAGAATATATCTGAGCCTCCCTGCACCGCAGAGTTTTAGTAAATAGACAGGGACATAGAGTTCAGAGGCTGCCAATTCATGTCTACCCTCAACATTGTTTCCCCCTGCACTGTCATGGGAAGAAGAATAGCCTCTTCTCTCATTTCCTTCCGAATCTCATACGACTGCGCATCATCAGCGGAACTGAAATCATGTGGAAGCCTGGGGAGTGCAGTCTTTAGCATCCCAGCCCTGCAGTTAAGGAAGACAGGATATAGAAGGTGGGAGAATTGGTGGCCCAGTGCCAGCAGACAATATCTAGCAGATCTTTACATCTAAATTGCCATTTACAATCTAAATTGCCATTAACAAGTCATCGACATTTTATTTATGTACATGGCAAAGGTTAATATTTAAGGGCTCTCTAGTGGAATATCAGGCCAACATATTGTCAACTGCTGAAGTTAGTCATTCTTCTTTCTCCATTTGTCTCATCCTATCCCATTACTCTCTTAACTTAGTTTCTCTTTCCAATTGTTTTCTAAATCCACTCACTAATGTAGGACAACCAGTACCTAAAATAGGGTTTATTATATAACAGAAAATTTATAAATATTAGTTATTTGAATGAATGAGTACTTTATTCAGTTGTAATGACTAGTTTCATATGTCAACTTGACTGGGCCACAGAGTGCCCATATTAAACATTATATCTGGGTGTATCTGTAAGGAAGTTTCCCGATGAGATCAGCATTTGAGTCAGGGGACTCATGAAAGTAGATTGTACTCACCAATATAGGTGGGCACCATCCAACATCCAATCTTTTGGGGGCCAAAATAGAACAGAAGATGGAGGAAGGAGGAATTTGCCCATCCCTGCCCCTCTTTTTTTCTGTCTAACTGCTTGACTTCGGAGAGCTCATCTCATCTTTTCCTGCCTTTGTAAATGGGATTTACACCATCGGCTTCTCTGGTTCTGAGGCCTTCAGACTTAGGCTGAATTTCACCACTGGCTTTCTGGGATCTCCAGCTTGCAGATGGCAGACTGTGGGACTTCTCAGTCTCCATGATCACATGAACCAATTCCTCGTAATAAAATTCTTTTTTAAGTCTTATATATCTTCTTTCATATGTAAATAAAATAAATTTCCATTTACACATATAAATTATATATAGATATAGCTCCTATTGGTTCTATTTCTCTGGAAAACCCTGACTTAGGCTAGCATTCTCTCTAGTATTGCTCCTTTCCCCAGGCATTTTTGGTCTCTTGATTTCTGTAACCTTAGGTAGGACTACGTTAAGTCAGCAGCATTCTCTTACCATTTTGGGTGCTTAAATAATGCCTGCAGCTTCTATTCACAAGTTTAGGGTCAGGCGGTGATTCTTAATTGAAGCTATTTGGCCACCCAGAGGACATTTGGCAATGATGTGTAAAGACATTTTTGGTTGGAGGAAGTGTTACTGGCAACTAGAGAATAAAGATCAAGGATGGTGCTAAACATTTTACCGTGTGCAGAATAGCCCTAAAAAATTGTCAGGCCCGGCCGGGCACGGTGGCTCACGCCTGTAATCCCAGTACTTTGGGAGGCCAAGGCGGGTGGATCACGAGGTCAGGAGATCAAGACCATCCTGGCTAACACGGTAAAACTCCGTCTCTGCTAAAAGTACAAAAAAAATTAGCCGGGCTTGGTGGCGGGCGCCTGTAGTCCCAGCTACTCAGGAGGCTGAGGCAGGAGAATGGCGTGAACCCGGGAGGCGGAGCTTGCAGTGAGCGGAGATCGTGCCACTGCACTCCAGCCTGGGCTACAGAGCGAGACTCCGTCTAAAAAAAAAAAAAAATTGTCAGGCCCCAAAAGTGAATTGTGATGAGGTTGAGAAACTCTGGGTTAGAGTGCAGAAGAAGAAGAAAAAAGAACTTTAGGAGGCTGAAGCAGGAGGACTGCTTGAGGTCAGGAGTTTGAAACCAGCGTGGGCAACATAGTGAGATGCTGTCTCTACAAAAAATTAGCCTGGGGTGGTGGCACATGCCTGTGGTCTCAGCTACTTGGGAGGTTGAGGCAGGAGGGTCACTTAGGCCCAGGAGATCAAGACTGTGGTGAGCCATGATCTTTCCACTGCACTCCAGCCTGGGCGACAGAGCAAGATTCTATCAAAAAAAAAAAAAGAATTGAATGCAAAAGGAGGGAAGGAGTAAAGATGATATCTAGCAGGGGTCACCAAACTTTCTGTAATGGGCCAGATGGTGAATATTTTAGTCTTTGTGGGCCATAAAATCTATTGCAATTACTCAGCACTGCTGTTGTAGCAGGAAAAGCAGCCATAATCCATACATAAATGAATGTATGTGCTGTGTTCCAATAAAACTTTATTTAAGGATGCCGACATTTATTTAAATTTTATATAATTTTTACATCATGAACTATTATTCTCCTTTTGATTTTTTCAACCATCTAAAAATGTAAAACTATGTTTAGCTTTCAGGCCTTACAAAAACAGGCAGGCAAAAGGTCGCTAAACCCTGAAGTAGAGGAAGGAGGAGGAGAAAGAACAAGAAATAAATTACTATGGTAGAGGAGTATATTAGTTTGGTGTTTATATTAGGCTAGATTATGCTGCAGTAACAGACAACCTCAAAATCTCAGTGATTTACAATAACAAAGGGGTATTTCTCATTTACAGCACATGTGTACTCTGTGCTGGCTAAGTTCTATTCCATGTTGTTTTTATCCTGGAATTCAGGCTCATAGTGCGGCCTCTATCTGGAATACTGCTGCATCTAGGAGCAGAAGAAACACGGAGAACATGGCAAACCAAGTGCTGGCTCTGGACGTTTCTGCCTAAAATTGACATACATCATTTTCACTCTGTTTCACTGGCCAAAGCAAGTCACATACCATGCTAGACTACAATGGGGTAGGATATAGAATCCTCTTCCAGACCAGGGCAATTACTATTTATGAACAATAACACAGGCTAACACATAGCCTACCCTTAGTGCCTTCAGTTGCTTAGGTTTGGTTATTCCTGAACCAAAGTTTATTTTATTCTTCAAACTAGTGTCTTAAGTAGGGATGGGGAGATATAATAGTAACAATAATAAGAGCTAACACTTATTGAGTGATTGTTATTTCCTATACGTATGTCCTTTACATGCATTTTTGTATTTAATCCTCACAACTACCATTGAGGTAGCTACTATTTTGATCCTTACTTTATAGATGAAACAACAATGGAGAGGTTAAAAGCACTCAACTACCAAGTAGTTGATATTCCAACCCAGGTCACTCTGATTTCAAAAGCATATTTTTACTCTAATACAGATTAAAATGTAGATTAGAGTGATAAACTGCCTGGGTTCAAATACTGGCTGGTGCCAAATACAACTTTTGTAGCCTTGTGCAAGTTCTATAACTTCTCCATCTCAATTTATCCACTCTAAAATAAGAACAATAACAGTATCTACTTTAAGGGGGTTTTGTAAAAATTAATGTTATGTGGAGTGCTAGTGTTTATAAAAATGCTTGAAAAAAAAAGGAAAGTCTGATGATGATGATTACCTAACCGTGTTTTAGAAAGCACCACTGGTAATTTGAATCCCCTCTTTTCTACTTCCTTCTCATCCCCCAATTCCCTTTGAGAATTATTGTTCTAGATTTTTGCCCCTACTCTGTTGTTTCTACTTTTGGACTAACACTTCACCAACTTGGAGGGTAAGCTGTAGGAGTATCATTACCTTCAACCCAGGTATACATCTCACCCCTGTTTCCCAAACCTCCCTTGCCTGTCAGTTTTACGTCTATGTTTTATTATTTAAACTCCTAATTTATAATTATGTGGGTACATAGCAATGATCTGGAATACAGGAGTGGGCTGCCTAGAGGGGAGGCAGTAATACTGGCCTTGCTTTTTGCTACATGACCTTGCTTCCCATATTTTCCAGTTAATTCTTGAAATTAAATGGTTACTTTTTTTCAATTAAAATTAATTATTTAAATTTACTGTGGCTTAATTTTGGAAACATCATATTAAATTTTTTGTCCCCTGTGAATACTGTGCAAAACCAAGCAAGCAAAGTAATAAACTGTGCTTGGCATAGATCTATCTATTAGGCATCAGCCTTTTAAAAAACAGGTGTTGTTTGAGAAGGACCTGATGGTCTAGAAGACTTATTCTGACAAAGTACATACAACTCTTTCGCGTGTGGAGTGAAAAGAAGTAAACAATTTGTTCTCAGTTTTAATGCTTAAAATAGAATGAAATAGAACAACAAAAGGAAAAGGCATGAAATAGAATGTCTTGTAGGCAAGTTGAAATCTGTTTTATTTACCACCCCCTTAAACTAACATTTTTCTTTTAAAATGTATTAATTTCATAAAACAGAAGGATAAACCATCTCACCTCATAATATGTCCTACTTGAAACAATACATAGACTTCAAGTGCTGGTTCTGATTGTGGTCAGAATTTTAAGTTAATCTTATGAGGATAGTGGGGTTTTTCTGGTAAGTTATGATGTTAATATGTTTTTGCTTCTGAAATAATTTAAAATAATATTTAATATTTTTTGGTCTGGAAATTTCTTCTTCTATATCTGCCACCCACAACCCAGTCTACATTTGAATTTACTAGTTTGGCTGTACGGATTGAGAAGTGATAATTAAGAAACAGCAACAGGAAAGTTTATAAAGTTTCAGAGTACATGATTAGGGCACATTATTGTATAAATAAAGTTAAAGCTAAGGTTTTGTTTCCATATGCTTCAATTCTCATCAAGCCGATTCTAAATTACCTTACATTTTTGAAAGTTCCAAATAAATTTAGATTTTCTAGATATAGCAGATTGAAACATAGTAACTTACCATCTTTTCTGCCTATTGGACTTACATTATGGATCTAGGAGGTATCAAGTGCCATATTAAACATATTCTTGCCACCAGCTTCTATGAAATTGATGTCTTTAATCAAGTCATGCATTTAAATTTGATCAGTGCTATTCTGTATGGATTAGGATCTAAGGGTTTATACATAAAATTGATCTATAAGGAGATATATGCTCAGATATGCAGAGTCATGCTGGGGATGCCCACAGGTCTCCCCATTTTCACACTTAGATTGCTAGGTGAGGTCAAAGCTAAATTCTAATTCCATTTAGTTTTAAGAAATAATCTGCCTTCTCTCTTTCCTGAACAGTTTCCAATTATTTAGCTTTTTTCCTCTAAAATCCATGGAGCAGAGTTAAGCACTATGTTCCCTCTAATTTCATAGCATATTTGAAGGAGCTTTGTAAGGAATGGAGCAAGAGAAGAGAGTACCAAGCATGAAAAAGGCCAGATTCTTGAATCATATTTGCAATGTGTTAAATTATTTGGGGAACACTGCAGTTATTTTTATTCAAGAGTCAAGTGACACTGGAAAACAATACTTTTTCAAGATAATCATTTAGATTTATTTTTAAAAAAAGAGGAGAGTTCTCTTATTGATTTTATAAGAGCAAAGGCAACAGTCAGCCATTCTTTTGGCTAATTCATATGATCCTCAAGTAAAACTTAAGCCCAGGTTACTTTGGTAGGATTTAAAGTAGTAAGACATATGTGAATAAAATGATATTAGGTCTGTATAATTCTGAATAATAAAATAAAGATTAAGATGGTAATATTGGTCCCTCAAGTACTGGTATTTAAACTTTAAAAATCAATCAAGAGAGAAGATTAAGTGGTGTTTCTTTGGTACTGAAAATGTAAAGCTAAGACCAAATTGTTCTACTTCACAGATTTAAGATACAAAGAATGATATTTAAAGGTATTAAAATAACTATTTCATTATCTTCAGTTTGTAAAGAATATCTTATGAAGTACACTTAGAAGGAATCCCTGAGTATATTAAGTACTCTATTAGTATCTTTCTTCATAAACAAAGAGGAACAATTTAAAGGCTTTGCAAGACATATAAACACAGTGCTTAGTAAAAGCATTATCTGTTTATAAGGCTCTCTCCATCGTGCTTGTAAATTAGGCCACCAAATGCTTCAGAGGAGAAACAATAGATTCACAAAATTAAACTCTAACATTTGAATACATTAACCACTCTCAAGTAAATTAAAAAACCATTCTCTGATGGTGTTTCTATGTTGTTTTAGCCACTCTATATTGTTTTTCACTGTTTCCAGCACTTGTTCCCTAGGTTTTTCTCCTGCTCCAGCTTGTGGATATTTTGCAAAAAAGCTCTCCATCTAGAAAAGAGAGGGGAGTAATTAGGATTGTCATTTATAGCCAAATTAGTCTTCAAGAATTTCATTCACAAACTGGATTTGCTTTCTTCTTACCTAGAAATTCAGTATCACTGCACAACGTTGAGCTACACCTCTGGCGCATCATTCAGACTGAACCCATCTCTCAGATTAGCAATAGTTACCCATGGCTTTTGGATCCCCACAGCATGTCAAGCCAAAATAGGCTCTGACATTTTGGAGAAGGATGGCAGCATGTCAGTCGCTAGCATGCCCATTTCTGTTTCTGCTGCTTTCTCTATTTTCTCTGAATTCCCCAAGGTGTTCCCTGGAAAATCTCACCTATGGAGTGATGGTTTTCCTTAGCCTTTCACTCCAGGAGTCTGGAGTATTTTAATGTACTTTCAGTTCACTTATTAAGGACTCATAAAACAAATCTTTCTTAAAATTAGTGCTGTACTCCCTCTGACCTCCAAAGCCCTACCCCAAACTCAACCATACTAGGATTATTTGCTATAAAAATAAGAATAATTTGGCTTTTTAACATACAGAAAACTCTTAGCATTCAATATCTAACACACAGATATTGAAACTTCATACAATCTCTACCTGTTCAACATTAATAGACATTTCTCCTCCTTTGGACTTGAGATATTTGAAACCGGAAAGATTTGAGATTAGTTTTGAAATTGCAAAACTATGAATTCTGAATGGAATCAAATCTTGACCAACTTGTTCCAGAGTTACATTTACAGGAGAGGCGAGACTTTCTGCCCATGATTTCATGAGCTGAACTGTCTGGTGTGGCCTTCTCAGCCCCCCGCCACCTCAACTTTTGCAGCTTTTAAACTTTCTTAGAGGCTCTTTGAATTGTTTTATGTTTAGAAAAAAAATAGGTGTACATTTTATTAGATACAAGAATTATTTCTCAATTCACTGTGTATACTTATCAAGATAAATAAAGACATGTTTTACACCTTAAATATATACAATTTAAAAATACAAAACCAAAAAGAATTTTCTTTCTCATTGTCTTCTGTGATTTGAATTGAGAAAATATCATTTCTATTTGAAAAAATAGTTTCATTCTATCCCGTTACTGGGTATATACCCAAAGGATTATAAATCATTCTACTATAAAGACACATGCACATGTAGGTTTATTGCAGCACTGTTTACAATATCAAAGACTTGGAACCAACCTAAATGCCCATCAATGATGGACTGGATAAAGAAAATGTGGCACATATACACCATGGAATACTAGGCAGCCATAAAAAGAATAAGTTCATGTCCTTTGCAGGGACATGGATGAAGCTGGAAACCATCATTCTCAGCAAACTAATACAGGAACAGAAAACCAAACACCGCATGTTCTCTCTCATAAGTGGGAGCTGAACAATGAGAACACATGGACACAGGGAGGGGAACATCACACACCAGGGCCTGTCAGGGGGTGGGGAGAAAGGGGAGGGAGAGCATTAGGACAAATACCTAACACATGCGGGGCTTAAAACCTAGATGGCGGGTTGATAGGTGCAGCAAACCACCATGGCACGTGTATACCTACGTAACAAACCTGCACATTCTGCACATGTATTCCAGAACTTAAAGTAAAATTTTTTTTAAAAAAGTTTCATTCTGCTCCTTCTTGGACAAATGCAGAGGAATTTATCTTCATACCTGCCACAGTTGCAGTTCAGTGTTGAATGGCTCTGCTATTGTGACAATTCGGCCAAGGTTTCTGTTATTGAGTGTATATCTGGAGAGAAATTTAGAGTAAAAGGAAGTGTAAGTGCTCAGAATGTTACATATTTTCTCTAAATGCAGATGTTTCCTTTTTATTTCATAGTTTTTAAAAGTAACTTTCAAAGTAAGCAAAACACAGTAAGAAAACCCATTTTACTTAAAATCATTCTATTCAAGATAAATTCTTAGTACACTCTGCACTTCTTTTGGTAGACAAATTGACACGACCCTCTGAGATATGGAAGACTGCTTGTTGTAGTCCCCAAATCTGTTTTTTTTTTTTCTGCACACATGAGCGCCCTGCTAGAGACTGTTTCTCAGGCTCTCTCATAGCTAGATGTCCACAGGTAACCCAATTCTTACCAACAGAACATTAGCACAATGTTCAGCTGCAGCTTCCTTGCTTAAATAAAGGGAAATTGCTTGCCTAGACTTCCTGGTTTTTCTCTCCTCTTCCCCCAAGCTAGAACATGTACATACCAGTGATTCGTCTTCAGCCATGCAGACAGGATACTGGCCTGGCCTCACAGAGCAGAAGCACGCTAACAACTTGGACCACTCACTTCAGGAGTCTAACCATAGTGAGAACTAATTACCCACACATGCCCTTTCAGCGGCTGCCTTTCTGTGTTTCCGTTACGGCAGAACACCTCCAGCATCGTTATCCTAATACTCTATGCATCTTCCTACTGGTACAGAAATTTAAATATAGGCTATTTATTCTGCTTTCAAAAAGCTTTATTAGTTGCTGGCATGTGGGGGTTATGATCTATATCAGTCTGCCTAAGCAGAGAAACCTAAAGCTAAATTCCAAGACAGAATTTTAAAGATGATATTCTACCCCTGTTCTCTTTGCATTTTCTTTCATAAAAAGCAAGAACCAGAAGTTTCCTCATAGACCACAAATGGTTGTGATAGAGGTAAAAAAAATCTCATCACAACTAATCACAGTGCAAGAAACCCACAAAATTATATATAAACCTTAAACCCCTGGAATGTTGAGGAGGGATACAAGAAAATATGTACACAGCAATAGGATAAATTTTACATTTAAAAATTATTACAGGCTGGCTGCGGTGGCTCACGCCTGTAATCCCAGCACTTTGCGATCTCAAGGTGGACAGATGGCTTGAGGTCAGGAGCTCAAGACCACCCTGGGCAACATGGTGAAACCCCATATCTAACAAAAATACAAAAAGTAGCTGGGCACGTGGTGGTGTGCGCCCCACAAGTAGTCCCAGCTACTTTAGGGGCTGAGGCGGGAGGATCGCTTGAACTGGGGAGGTCGAGGCTGCAGTGAACCAAGATTGTGCCACTGCACTCCAGCCTGGGTGACAGAGTGAGACCTTGTCTCAAAAAAAAATTTATATATATATATATATATATATAATTTTTATAAATATTAAATGTTTCCATTCCTATATATATATGCAAAAGCAGAAATCATGAAGATAAAAGCTGATAGTTTGTTTTATGCAAATTAAAAACTTTTATACTGAGCTGGGAGGTGATGGTTTGCCCTTGTAATCCCTGTGACTTGGGAAGCTGAGATGAGAGGATCCACTGAGCCCAGGAGTTCAAGGCTAGTCTGGGTAACAAAAGAGTTTTATACAAAAAAAAAAAAAAATCCTACCATATACAAAATTAGAAGCCAAATACTAATCGAGAACAAATCGTTGTAATATATATGATAAAGAGCAAATATTTTTGCCATATAAAGAACCCTTACAAATTGGTAACAGGGAGAAATATGCCAGCATGAATTTAGCAAAGGAATGAAAATGTACCAATGGGAAAAGAATAAAATGTTCTAGTAATCAAGCATGATTTCAGTGTACCAGATCCAGTGCCCACTCTTATCACAGACGCCACTGAATTTAAAGCCAATATGTTTTTTCATCCCTAATGTCATCAGTCATTATCTAAAATGTGATTCTGAGGCATTAGTAATGCTGCCCCTAAAAGTGTGTACTTTCTGGCCTCTGACACATTTCCTAGATCTCCCCAGGCTCTTGAACCCTTTCACCTAGCCCTCTGGAACTGTCCCTTTACAGGGAACACTACTTCTCATTCTCACTTAAGAGAATGTTTATATTCCCACATCCTTTGTAGCATCAGGTCAGGAAATAGTCAGTGTGCTCATGCTCCCCATTGCTGCTTCCAGACCAGCATTCCTCCAGCCTCTTTAAAAACCTCTGTTCCCTTATGTTAGTCCCTCGCATTTAATGATACATTCTGGTACCTGACTCCTCCAAGCCATGCCATCATTCTAGGTAATTTCCAGATCCATACAGATGAATGATATAACATCTCTTCTCTTAGTTCCTTAACCTTATTTCCGATGATATTTTCTTCACTCGACTTCAGCCACCAAATTCCTAAGATACTTTGTGATCATCCGTAAGTCATCTGCCTCTAAAATTGCTAATTTATTCACCCTCTATGACATGTTATGTCTTTCAGTTTCCACTGTGACTGTTCTTTCACTTTACCTGGACTTCTGGCCCTTTGACTATTCCCACCCCTCTATCACTTAAACCATCAGATCTTCCTATTCTTGCATTTATTTCTTTATGTAGTTTAGATTCCATGGTCTACCATTTTGAATAACATTTTTGCCTAAGACCTGAACTTTTTTATACTTTAATAATTTACGTATAATAAAGTATACATGTATTTGTGTGACTCTTTACTTAAAATTTGTCTCTACTCAAAGCTTCATGACGACAGAGAACCAGGTCTGCTTCTCCTTACTACTGCATCCCCAATGCCAGTCATAATGCCTAGCACAGAGTAGGTGCTCCACAATATTTACTGGATGGAAGAAATGTAATTTAAAATGAGATATCAGTTTTCATATATTCAATTAACAAAGATACATAAAAATAACAACACTGAGCATTGAAAAAGGTTGGGAACATAGGCAGTTACTAGCAACAGTTTTTAGAATGGCAATTCTGCAACATTTATCAGAAACCCTAAAAATAAACACATCTTTTCACCCAGTAGCATTACTTCTACCACTACTTGTATTCTAAAGAAATTGTCAAGGACATTAAAAAAAACAACAAAGGATTCAGTGTACAAGACTGTTCATCAATACACTACGTATAGTTGTAGGGAAACAATTCTATTGTCCAACATATAGGGATTGGCTAAATAAACTAAGATGTATGTACACATTGAAACATTATTAAGCCATTCAAAATAATATTGAAGATGCACACTTAAAGACATGAAAAGACACCCACAATATAGGATGATGAGGAAAAAAAGCAAGTTATAAACCATATTTATAATATGTTTCCATTTCTGTAAATTAAGTAAACAGCCATGGAAAAACTCAAGGAGAAACAGTAATATGACAATAGGAGTTATTTCTTGGTGGTTGCATTACAGGTAATTTTTGTACTCTTATTTTTGTTTGTATGCATTTTGTGCAAAAAACACATACCAGTTTCACAATAAGAAAACAGGAATTTAAAAAAGCAAATCACACTGAGTTGCTTTGATGAGATTCTATAGATTCAAAGAAAGTCTGCTAATTGCAGCTAATAAAACAATGTTTTCAGTGACCTTCTATAATTTCTGTAATATTTATTTCTGTTTTGTCTAAAGGACATATTTAGAAACTAGCAATGAATATGCTGAGTGAAAACTGCAACTACTTGTTTAAATACCAGAAATGCCAGAACAAAATATGTACACCCCAGGAAACTAATATCATATAAAGTATAGAAAATAAGGGAAAATATACTGCATGCTTATCATATTGGTTATTTTTAAAAACTAAAATAAGGATTTAATTATATTTTAAATAATTTGAAAAAAATTTACAAATATTGTCTTCTTGGATTCAATATTTATACAAGTATTATTATGTTATCCAAAGAAATAATTTTAATACACACAAAACTTTTAAGTGCTTATTAAATTGTTTGGTTTATGAGGTAGTATTTGAAGGGTTTCAATCATGTCCTAATGACTTAGTTTTTCATCTACTGTCATAAACTAAAATCACACCACCTTATTATTGGGTCAACTCAACTTCACAGTTTCATCTAAGAGTTTATTGGAAGAAACAAAAGCAAAGAATAATTTCTGAAGTATCTTTGGGACTTTGTGGCTAAGTCTCAAACTGGCAAGGACATTAGCAGTGTGGCCATCAGTTGTCATAAAAATCACATGACAAAAGCTTTATTTAAATAGAAGATTATTTATTTCAGGATGACCATAAATTGTTCAGAAATGGAGATAGTAAAACTATTCATCCTGAAATTTGGAAAATGTTCAAGTGTTTGGGATTATTTGGATAAAGTTTGGCTCATTTTTGTTTAATTTTTATTATCCAATTTTCATAGGGAAGTTCTGTTTATTCAAGCCAAGTACAATTAATATTGGGTGTTTGTGTGTATTAGACATGTGGTTATTAGCAATTTTACATTTGGGGCCATTTGAAATAATGTCTCATGAGAATTAGATCATTAGATTATGAAGAAATGCTAAAGCCTTGGGCAAGAGTTTTGGAGTACTTCTGGAAATAGTTTATCTTCTTTTTTTATCTTGAAAAATAATCAATTTACCAGGCCTAATACATTTATTTTAAGGCCAGACACTTATGAATTTTATGACAAGGCAAAACCTATTTTTTTCTACTTCTTAATTTTCCTGAAGTGAAACAACTAATTTTTAAAAATGAAAAATGCATTATTTGAAATAAATCACAGCATAGCTACTCAAATAGGCCTTGAGAAATATTTATTCAATAAACAATAAGTTAATGGCCATTTTATGCAAAATAAACCATTATTTACTTGTCTTTTCATAGTAACTCAAAAGTAACTTTTATGCTTCATCTACATAGGTTTCCTGCACCATACACCACAGAAAAAGAGATAGTTGTATGGTCTTTTCAACTAAAACAAAATATGCAGTATTTATCACTAGCCATATATTTTTCAAAATGGAGGGTATTACCTTGCATGATATAAACTGTTACATCTAGATAATAACATATTCTTAATAGGTATATTCATTCATTCTAAATTAAGCATTTCATTTAAACAATCATAAAAGATGAACAATGCACATATGTGCGTGCACACACACACACACACTCACATGCACACCAACCAATCTTCATAGAGATGGGTGAACAGTGACACTCAATAGTTACAAGAATAGAAAAGGTAAAAATTTATCACAAGCAGGCAGAAGCAATGTAGTGTATTTTGGTTGGGAGCTAGAGGTAGAATCTGAATCTCAGCAGGAAAAGAAATGTAAATGGACATAATAGCACTCTGGTGAGCTGTGGGGTAGAAAAGAGAAAATAATTAAAAGTTATAATTAGAGTTGGTATTTCTCACAAGGCAGTCATTATCAATGAGACAGTGCCGCTGGATTGACAGGAGAGATTAAGAGGAGATAACACAGGCTATTTCCTAATGTAGGGATTACAGATGGTAAAGGTCTTTTCATCAATGTTTATATGTTTATTTGGGACATACGTTTATTCTATATTCTATTTTGTACTCTATCAAAGAACTGCCTTTTGGATGGAAATTGTGCATTATATTTAGAGTATCAGAACCAAGAGCAGCAATCTTTCTTCTGCACGGGCCTGAGGAAATACGAAGTTTGGAAAGGCATCTCTTTAACTGATTTTGCTCTTGTCCTTGCTATTTCCCATTTTAAAAGTTCTATTGCCTAGGAAATATAATTCCCTTTTAAGAAACATTCAAAATACTTGAAATTTCATTATCTGGTCAGGATAGGTAATAGTTATCACCCACATAAGCTCAGTATGATATAGAACTCTAATTTGAACCCAGGTCCAATAATTTTTACCTAGCTTTAATCAAACATTAATTGAGAACTAAATATGTGCCTGGCATTATGCTAGGTACTAGCACAACAGGCAGAATTGTATTAACTTGTTTTAACCAAACTAAAAATAATGCAATTTAGTCTTCCAGATCTCAGAATCCTATAGGTCAGTTGAAACAATAATTTCCAGAAAAAAATTGTTCTTAAAATTAACTAGTACATTGCTTCCCTGGAAGGATAATACCATGATCCTTTACCTCTAATAATGCCATTTTAGATATTGTATAGATGTCAGAGACAGTGGCCCAAAGAAAAATGAAGGAACCAGTAGATAGTATGAAACAAAGAAAACAGCAGACCATCATCAGATCATCCCACCTGTTGACTAGATAGTCCCAGTTGAGTTGTATCCAATTCCAGGCCATGTTCTTCCCATAGCTGTTATATGAGATATATCGAATGACTGTAAACACATCCTGAGTTTTAATAAGGTTCGTGTCCTTGAGCAAATCCAAATACCTAAGAGAAGCCAAACAGAAAAACAATTCAAAGTGAACTTTTAATGTTCACCCTTAGCTAAATTCCAATACAAAATAGTTTTCATGCCAGCAATTCAATTCTTGAGGTATCAACTGACAAAGTTAATTAAATATGACAAATGATGAAAGACAACTTAAAATTTTCTGATATGTTTAACTGTTTTAAAAGACCAACCTATGATTTTAAAGACTAGTGGAATGTAAACTATAAAACATTTAAAATTAAATTATTTTAGAAGCACCAAAAACAATTTTAAAACACATTGTTTTTAATTTAAAAATTAAAATGTTAATTTTAACCATTAATATTTTAAAACAGCATTTATTGAATAGAGTACTTCACACACTTTCCCATTATCCCACTGGATTTTTAAAAGAAGCCAGTAAATTAAGAGAATGTATCTATGCTCTTATATTCTATAGGAAAGCAGTTGTTTGCTCTTCCCTAGATTGTAAGAAATAATCCTATAATGTAACCTATATGGTTATATTAGTTGGCAATAATTAAGAATACAAATAAGTACAAGATAAATTAAATGACTAAATGGATAGGTTTAATTGTATGCCATGGCTATACCTAGAGTAGCGTTTCTAGCCCAAGATCTTACAAGTGTATATTGTATTGAAAAAGTGTTTCCAAAAAAGGTCAGCACACATTTTGTTCACTGTGACAAGGGAACCTCAAAAATAGATGTCTACTACTGATAGATTAGATGTATTTTCATGTTACTCAAGTCTTGCTGCCCCATGGCATCCTACCCATTGGCTTAATTCATTTATATCTTTAGGAAGATATTGAGATAATAACTACAACAAAGGGATCACTGTTCAACTTGAGTTGTGAGCCTTTGAGAGTCAGCCTTTGTCAAACAGAAAAGGTATTTCTAAATTATGTATGCTTTTATTAATATATCAAGACCCTTAGCATACTTGAAGTAGAAATTTACCCTAAATGAGACTGGAGAAAACTCAAGCTTAAATAAAGTCCATGCCACATGTGAAACTGGAAAACACAACCCCTTAAGAACAGGTCTATAGTTCAGCATGTACTTTTGTGCTATGCCAAAATGGCATGGGAGAGTGACAGTACATCGTAGGCAAGGTGAGGTGAATATATGACTGAGTTTAAGGTAATGATCCTGGTTCCTTCGACTTGTGGGTCCTGTTTATGGGAAGCTATCAGTTTCTTCAGCCTAGCAATAAGAGGCAGGGACACTGGAAGACCTGATGGGAAAACAAAAATACCATACATACAGCACAGGTACTTCATGAACAGAAGCAAGTGACTGGGACCACTGCTTTCATCTCTGGATGACAGATAGTGCACCAGAAGGTAAAATATGATCAATGAAAACTCAGCAGACTCTGTCCCAGACCAAAATAGGTAAACACCTTAAGGCCAAAGCAGCAAAAATCAGAGGTCTCTTTCTCCATCACCACAAGGGTGGCATGTCTCCCTGTGCAGAAGGACCATGAGGAAGGGAAGGAACTCTAGAAGACTGAACATTTACTCCAAGAGACTATTTCAATGAGAATTCTAGTTTAACAACTCATTTAAAAACTAGACTGGCAGACAAAGATAGTCAACATCAGTTGTTCTCCCTCTCACTGGCTCATCACTCAGCAGTGTGAGAACTCTTGGGAATAATCAGATAGAAAATCAAGGTCCTACATTTTCTTTGCACTTGCAGTTGTGTGGGTAAATCTACTTTTATGAAAATACAACATATCAATCACATGTTTCAAATAAGAAAGGGATTCCAAGGAAGCTCGTACTGCAGCCTGGACTTGCTGCAGAATCTTCTTTTACTCCAGTCATTATTTGAAACTGGAAGACTCTGTAAATGGTTAAAGTAACACACTCAAATGTGAGATATGTTGCTTCCAAAATTTAAAAAAAGTTTACTAAGTCCACTAAAATAATCTTTTTCTGTGGCATGTCAGTCAAGGTGCAACAAATTTCTTTTCCTTTGGAGGGAATGTTGTGATATGCTTTAAACTATTGAACTTCCAGAAATTGCACTAAAGTCGTGGGATCCTGAATTTATTTCATCCCCTAGTTCACAAGGTTCTTACTAAGGCATCTAAAGTTCTTGCTAATTTTCTTACCAGATACAATCAGCACAATGCCATCAAAGTAATGAATTAGTGATGTTTTGTGAAATGTGAAAATGATCAAGTTCTTTTTTTTTTTTTTTTTTTAAATAGATACGAGGTCTCACTATGTTGCCCAGGTTGGTCTTGAACTCCTGGGCTCAAGAAAACCTCCTGCCTCGGCCTCCCAAAGTGCTGGGATTATAGGCATGAGCCACTGTGCCCAGCCAAGATGATCGAGTTCTTGATGAACTGTCATGGCAGAGAGCAGGAGAATTAATATATAGCCCTGAGGAAAGAGGCTGAAGGTATATTATTGGCTCTACCTGGTAAAAGCAAACTGCTTCTGGTCGTCCTTTTAAATTGGTATTGCATTGTAATTTACTGTTTACATTCTGCCTCTCCCATGAAGCTGTAAGTATCTCAAGGATAGATGTCATTTTTATTCATGTTTTATTCATTTTTATTTCCACAATCTATATATCTATACATAGAAAGGACACCATAAGTGTTGGTTAAATAAATGAAGTAAATAACTCAGACACTATAACTAAGCAAAAAATGAATTAAGGAAGAAGCCTGTTGATTTCAAGTATAAATGCAGAGTGGGAAATGAGTCATAGATGAGCTTTGTGCCTTCTGAGTAAAGTGTAAATGCATTTGCGGCAGACACTCCTCTTTCTCTACTCACAGAGCCCAGTTTTGCTCTGATACCATTAGATATCCTTGATCTTAGGTAAAACAGACTTCTACCCCAGTCCCAGATAATTCTAATTGGCTCAAATCAGCCAAAGGAATTCAAGTTCACCCTAGTGAGCAAAGGATCAAGTAGCAGACCCAGAGTGTGACTCACAATGATGAAGGGTGACCCAGTTCTGGATTATGAGGAGAATTGGAGACAATTGTCCTGTTGGCATAAGAGACAGAGCCTTGTCAGGAAACTCTTTTGCTCCTGTCCTACCTCCATTACACATGTTTGTGTAAAAACAAAATGTTTCAAGCTCTGGAAGTCATGAGACATCCAACATGTCGATCATTGAAAATCAGAAAGAGAAGAGCCTGGGTCCTGGGTGAAAATGTTGAGCCGCTGCACACAACTGGAAGCTACCTACCTCCAGAATGTGTTCATATGAGATTACATTTCCTTATTGTTTAGGCCAGTCTTACATGGATATTTTGTTTCTTGCAGGGAAAATAACTTTTAATGGATTTTTTTGGAAACAAAACATCATACTTTAATCAGACTCTTAAAGAGACTGTGACACATAAACTATTAAATACTATTTATATATGTGAAATAAAAGCCCAACTTACCTTGACAAAAGAGTAACGTTCTTCACTGATGCTAATCCATACAGCAGTTTTTCTTTTTCTTGAGCTAATGAAGTTTTCTGGTATTGCTCAAGAGTGTAGTTCCATGAAATCTCATTGCCAGAGTTCTGCATCCCATACCGATACACCAGAAGCCTGAGATTTACGGGAAGGCTAGAAGAAGAAACAGTGTTTCAGAGATTTCAACTACTCTTTTCTCAAATGTGTCTTCTAAGCATAACAATGTGAGTAATCACCTTACAGTCCCATTTAGCCACTGCTCAAATAACGAGGAAGCATTGTTCAAGGCTTCTCTGTCTCCCATCTTGCACGCAAACCCTAACACGGAGGAACGGAGTAACCTTAAAAAACAAACAAACACAAATCCAGGGCCTTAAGCACTTTTCAACAAGTCTTAAAACAAAAAACAAATGTTAAATGAATTTTAGTTGTTAAAAAGTGAGAATAACTTTGTGACATGGTCTCCAGCATCATTCCATCCCAGAGAATCTGCAATAGGCTTCACTTGACCTTGGAAGTATTCCTGAAATAAAAGTATTATGTACAATAAGTAACAATTTACTACATATCAGTAGTATCCCAATTATTATACTCAGCAGCCCCTGTTATAATCTGTTTTCCTACTAATTCAGAGAACTTTGCGCTTGTCCTTAGAAAAACAATGTATTTAATTTTTATCACATTGCAATTTTTTTCAATCCTGAAAATATAAACCATCCCGGACCTTCCTGTAATGTTTTATAAAACTTTGGGTAAGGCCCTTTTAACCCCTATTTCTTAGTTAACATATGTAATAAATAGGAAAACACTCAACCTACTTTCTGCACTAAGATTGTTTAAGCATATATGAAATAATAAAAATAACTGATATTGCTTTAGGTTTTACAAAGCACTTTCATATTATTTGATCCTCACAATCCCATTACCGTAAGCAGGCAAGTGCTGGCATTCCTAATGTACAAAGGAAATTAAGACTCACAAATGTTAAATCATTTGTTCAAGATCTTTCATTTTGTAAATAGAAGAGCTAGAGATTTGAATCCAGAATTTGTCTAAAATTACAAGTGTCCTACTTACGTGCTACAGAAATCACAAAGCAAAGAAACGGTATTTAGAATGACTACATATGATAAAATCTCAATGTGGAAATACCAGCAGTAAGAATAAGAAGATATAATATTATATTTTAGAAGAATAATTCACTTTAACATAGATAAAGTCCATTTTAAAAAAGATCTAATTAGTATTTATTGTTTAAAATGTTGTATATTTTAAGTAAAATATTAATTGTTGTATTTCTTCTAACACTAAAATGCACCTAAGTGGTATGTATGCAGAACAACAAATTCTGATGTACTTCAAATTGAAAAAGAATAGACGGCATAGCTTTGCTTTGATTAGTCAAGTCATTGCACTTTCTTTTGATTCCACCTGGCAAGCAAACATGGTTTAGGTCCCCAAGAGCTCCTTCTCTCAGAAAGCATCCTATTCTACTAATGGCTAAACATTTACTTTCATAAGATACCATAGCATTAACGTCACCTCAATCATAGGATATAGCTCTTTATCATCTTCAAACATGCTAATGATGTAGGTTACAGCTGAAATTACTCTCTGCCATGGTAAAAAATTCTCTTCCCTTTTGAGATACTTGGTCAAGTTCAAAGCCACCTTATAATCTAGAAGTTGAGCTCTGAGAAAGACAAAAAAAAAAAAAAAAAAAAAAAAACTCACAGTTAATTAAAAACCACAGACTTTAGTTTCCATTTAACTGAAAGTTTTGGCGATCAAAGCATTCCATGTTAATGAGGATTCTTCCATTCAACAATCAAGAAATTGCATTTATTGGTTGAAGCCCAATCAAAAAGTTTTGTCCGAAATTATACAGTAGGGCTTTCATACATTCAATAGTAAGGAGGAAGAAAGGCATTAAGATGTACATTTGAAAAAGCACAACAGCAAAATTTCAAATAAAACAAAAGCCATTTAGCTGTACAGTTAATATTGACAAATAGAAACTTTTAAATTTTAGGTTCCCAAGTGGATTTTAACACATAAAGGCACTACTATAAATGTATTTTGTTGAAATTATTTACATTTGCTTATGAAGAAGAAATATAAGTAACAGTTCTTATTAATCCTGAATGCTTAAAACATTCAAATTGAACTTTTATTGTCCTTTATAACATCTTCTTATACATTTCCCAGTAATATTCATTAAAAAAGTAAATTTTTCTCTTCTAGAAAATTTGAAGACACTGTTGATATTTTAAAGGTTAAAGAATCCACTTTCTTCCCCTTTCAAAAGAATTTTAGAACCTTTTGAAATCAGCTCAGCTTTCCCCACTTCCCTGTCCTGTTTTTTGTATTCCCTGTCTCATGAAATTACTCTCTCAAGAAACCACTAGTACAAGAACCTCTATTTCTGACTCTACGTCTAGGGAACTCAACTCAAGACTGCTAGCATTCTTACTCAACTTTGGGTCTCAAACTCCATTTAAGTCCATAGACAAACAGCAATTCTGAAGGCCAGACTTGATTGAGAATTTTCTTTGTTCAAAAATATTCTGTTTATATAGTGAGAGCCCAGCCTGGGGGACTTAAATTATAGAAGTTTACTATATTCTATAGTGTAGAGAGGTTGGAAGCTATAGCTTAAAATTTCCACCAAATAAAATGAAGAAGAGGACAAAGGTCATATGAGAGCATTCTTGCTCTTCTATATTGAGCTAAGGCACCTAGGAAGGTTGGGGGACTCTTACAGCAGAAGGTTTGTTTTTTGTTTTCCTGAGTGTAATTTGGAAAGACTGCACAGTCCTGCTTAGAGAAGCCTGAGTTAAGTAGTTAAGTATAGTGTCTTGTCAAACATGGCTCCCTAAAGGGACAATAAAAATTGTTGAGAGGTACCTGGGGGAGTAAAACTGACCCCATGTGCTTGGGTTCTTTGGCTAGTTTTTCAGGTGGTGTGAAGGGCATAAAGTTCCCAGCTGTCTAGTCACTCAACTGAACTTGCCAATTAAATTCAGGTTTCTGGCTTAAAACAGTCATTTTGCAATTAACTAAATCACCTTTGGATTCTTTTCCCATTCCCCATCTTCTCACTTCCTTTAAGGGAAGTCCATGAGAGGATGGGAAAAGTTGCTTATAGAGTTCTGTGTTGTTCTCTGGTCATCTCTGCAAACACTTACAAAAATGTTTGTATCTAAGGTCCATGATTTTGGCTTGACTGATGTTCACCTGCTGGTTCTTATTTGCTAACGTGGCCATTACCTTGCATATCCTTGGAGCCAGTGGTCCTTGAAACCTGGCTGAAATTCTGCTTAGATCATTAGCTTAGGTGGTCCTTTCAGCTGTTCTCTTTGCCATTCGTCCCTTACCTAGTGACTCCTGCCCCCACGCAGCCTTGTCAGCCAGCATACTCTGCTTTCCCTTATGTTATTACCCACCCTCTCCTGGCTGTAGCAAGAAGTGGGCTGAAGAGGACAATATAAAGTAATTGCAAACAGAAAACAAAAAACAACAAAAACTATTGTAGCAAGCAGGGGGCGGGGTGGGGGGAAGAATTATTTCTGTGTCTGTTTTGGCAAGGCCCCAAGACTAAGTCCTATGCTCCAATGCTCCAAAGAAAGACGCAGGACCCCAAAGCAGGACTAACATGGTCAAGAACAAGACTGTGTGGCTCTTTGCTGATAGCCCACCACCAGCCTATAAAAGAGGTTGGAGAAACTAAGGTGAGACATTTTAGTGGAGGCCTTTCAAAGAGTGCTGTCAGTATACTGAGTACACTGTAAATGCTCTCCCCTCCAAGGGCTAGGGCACCAGATGTTTTTCTGTCTAATTAAGACTCAGGAGAGAGGTTTCAGTGGGACCACTTGAAGAGGTTTACCTGTGTCTCCTGGAACTTGGAGGCACCGTGGCTTGGTGTCTGACACCCTGAGAAATCTAAAAGATGAGAGGCTATTTGGCTGCTGCTCTGGCCTCAGAGTGAAGAGATGGGACTGCATGGGGTGGCCTGTTCTTCCAAATATTGTCAGGACAAAGCATACATGACAACCTCCTATGGACCAGAAGTGGGTCAGAAGTGTCCACCTGCCCACCTCAAGGAAACTGCAGGAGAAAGATCCTTCTCAATGGAATGGATATGGGTAACAAAAATCCCATAAAAACACAACACAAGGAAAAAAATCAGCATTAAACATCAACAAAGTTCAGAGAGGACCAAAAGTAGGCAGCACATCAGGATTTTTCTCCCTCTCACCTACTCTCCCACCCTGTTCTCTTTGCCTTAACTTTGGAGAAACCAGAGGCAGCACGGTGACTCGGGAGACATAGAAGTTCCAAGCAGAGAAACGAAGAGGAAATCAATCACCCCATTCCCATTGCAGGTGACTGGCCTGAACCTGGCCTAAGCTGGGGGCAGGGAGAAGCTTTAAATGAAGTAGAAAGCTTTGATGATTTTACTTGACTGAGAAAATTATGGAATTGAGAGGGTTTGGATGAACTAGTGGTGATGGGTAAATTTCTTACCTTGAAAAGAGTCATATGCCCAGCCAGGGCAGTAGGAGTACTACCTCTTCACATCAAGTTGGAAGAGACAGGGGAATAAAAAATTCATTTATTTTCAGATGTATCATTTAGTTCTGATTATTAAATATAATGGTTACTACATTCCTTTGAATACCTCAGTAGACTTGTTTAAATTCTAATCCTGCCACAGTTGCTCACCTATTTAACTACGCATTTCTTCTCTCTTCCACCCCCTCCACCAAAGTTTCATAATGGTCTTAGCTTATGTGGTCTTTGAAGCTGCCCTCTTGGCTCTAACCAATGCTCGTTGAATCTGTTTCTCTCCGAGTCCCATTTTCCTCATGTGCTGCAGAACCTCATTGAGCCAGGTGATAGCACAGGTATTTTCTAGCTCTCTTGTGTGATCCTACATATGTTTTGAATTTCAAATTTGTTTCATTTTCTTCCTCTCCACAGCTCTTCACAATTTTATGGGGCTGTGGCCAAGGAGCTGAGCAAATGTGAGCAAGTCTTTCAGTAGTGTAAGTTATTTGCTTTATACTCAGTTCCTCAGAGAGAGCTGTTCAAGAGGCTTTCTTTCACTTCATCTTGGAATAGAAAGGACCTCCTACATTGTGGTGCAAATTAAACTGTAGAGATAGTACAGTTCTTTGTAATTTCTAACAGTGAAGAAGCTGAGCTTTGGAACAGGACAATTTAAAAATAAAAACTAAATGATTCTGTTTAAAAATACTTATTGATCATCTTATTTCATCATTTAATTTCCCAGATTCTATTCTACACAGTGCCTGGCACATAGTAAGTCGCCAATGTTTATTTATTAAATGAGTGAGTGGTATACTGTAATATAGTGAAAATAATCTATTACATATCCAGGAGGTTAAACTTGGAGATTCACTAGAACATCATATTTTCTATTAGCTACAAAACGAGTGTAGATTACAAATTCAGAAGAGCTCTTCTAAACGCATCTTCACTACTAATTAACGGTGGATGCATTTTGGTCATGTAATACAATGTATTGAGTTTCTACATGCCAGATAATCTTTTAAGTGTTTTATGTCCATTATCTCATTTATTCCTCACAGAAGTCTTATAAGGTCATCTCTACCTTGGTGATAAGAAAATTGAGCCAGAGAGAAGTTAAGAGACTTACTTAAGACTATATGGAACCAGGATTTTAATGGGGTTCAAGAGCCTGTTTTCGAACCCCATAATTCCTTCCTTGAAATATGTCAAGGTTTTCTGACTTTTAATATACTATCTAGGAACTCTGTGTAAAATAGTTTCCCCATGCCTTTAGTACTACTATACTATTCTTCCACCTCTCTATTTAGTCAGTATTTATTATCAACTGTTATTGGCAACGTACAGTCAGGAGCTGGGTTTGGGTGCCTACCCTCATGAACCTTCAGTTTGATGGGTGAAATGCACAATTAATAAACAATAACAATAAAATATTATGAGGAAATATAGGGTCCCATAAGAAGGATACCCAACCCAGAGAAAGAGGCCATGGGAGGCTACTGAGGGAAGTGGCTCCTCATTCTTAGCACATTGCTCATATCTAGAATGAGGCGACTACAAAGCCAGAGAAATAAAATTGGCTGTGTCCTCAGCTTCTGCAAAGTGCCAGGAACTCAATAAATGCTTGTTAAATTACTGGTGTTAGACTATGTGAATTAAAAAAAAAATAGAGGTACCATGGATACTACTTAGTTCTTCCAATCTACACTTTTTCTAAAGAGCAGGTTACCTTCAGACTATGAGAAAAAGAGTCAAATTTTCCAAATGGTCCCCTAATTCTGATCAGTTCTAAAGCACCATAGCTCATTCTTCTTACCCCAGTGACCTGAACAAGATTTGACAATTCTAGCCATAAAATCTTACACTGGGCTCGGGCTCACAGAACTGAATTAATAAAATACATTGTTTGTCTTTATATTAAATCAAATTATGAAGGTACATTTTTGATCATTTGCAAATGTCACTTCTAATTAGCTCAAGGATCCTGATATAGACAAACCATACTCAAAGTCAATAAGTTAGGTTTGTTTTTGTGTATACCTTAAGGGCTAATGTCAGTATTTTGACTATTAGGCTCATGTGAACTTTTGAAAAGAGAGTTAAGGAAAACAATAATGTTTTAAATAGTGGCTTTGGATATTTTAAGCTAAAATTGATTAATACTGCAATGTTTAATTCATTTTTAAAAGATTTATGAGAAAACCCACAGTATTTTAAGTAATTTAGTCTCATTCTAAAACGCACCTTGCCAAGGCAAAAGCATCATCAATAAGACTTGCACGATCTGCTGAAGAAAATGTCTGGGAAGAGGGAGAAAGAGAGATAAAAACACAATTCTTAAGGCAAAGCATGTTGAAAAAAATTAATATCATTAAGATGCTGTTCTTAGAACAAAAATAAAAGTTTCCAACCATTGCTATCTCTTACCTTGTGGTTCAAGGAGAGCGCTGTAGCTATCGAGTCCCAAGTTGCTACTTCATAATTTACACGATAAAACCCAATATGATCTGGGTTTATTTTGAGAAAAGCATTTCCACTAGGATTAGAGGAGTTCAAAGTGATTCCTGTAGTAGTAAATAAACACTAATGAGCAACATGTTTGCATGCACTGTCAACACAGAGAAATTAGACCCAGAGGGCAAAAAGAAAATAAAAGAAAAGAAATATTAGCTCAAGGAGGCAGGTTTGATTTGGATCCAAAACCCAAAGCCTAATTTTTACTTAGTTGTCTAACTTTAGAATACCACTATAATGAGTGAGCTAAAAAAGAAATAAGTAATATAAATAATTATACTGTAATTTATGATGGATAGTTTTTACTGGCAGAAGCTTGTCAAATGGGCGAAATAATTTCGTGCTGGTCAATCCATCAATAAAAGAAAACAGTGCCTCGAGACAGAGAAGTCCATGCCTTCAGGGGTAGTCCATAGATCCCTAATCATAATGGATTGATTACACAAACAATATTCACCAGGGCAGCCTGGGGAGGGGATACAAATGTAAATACTCAAAATAATACTTTGTTTATTAAAATCAACATTGAAGTTGATGGAAATGGCTATCACTAAGCAGGATAATACATTGATAATCAGCAACACTTTTAAAATGTTACTGTATCAAGAAGACCTGCAATAGAATTGAGATCTGAATGAAACGTTCTTGATTTTGTAATCGACTTCACACTTGTTCTTCCAATTTATTTATCTTTGTAAAGCCGTCTACTTCCTATTTCAGTTGGTTACAACAATACTTTTCCATCAATGGATTTATCAAATTAGCATTCTTTCTAAAACAACATCCATATATATGTGAGGCTCTATTGTATAGATTTTAGAAGCCCAAGGCTGAAGGAGCAGAGACTTATGTTTTAGGTAAAAGATATGTACTTAAAATAATAGCTATGCTTTGATATAACCATGTTCGTTAGCGTTACTCCTATATTTTTCAGTTCATACATCATACACTCTTTTGTTTACATGAACAATATACAATTTAAATAATGGTATAGGAACATAGTATAGTTGAGAAGTTTCAAATATTTTAAGGTACCAACAATGTAGGTTGTGATATTGAAAAATAGGAGATGATGCTGGAAATAAAAGCCTGGCCTCCAGTATGAAGAGCCACATGCCATGTTAAGAATCCATCTTATGAGAGGGGAAAAGAGTTTTAAGCAGAAAAATAGCATGCTCAAGTCTATTTTCTGGAAAGATTTCAATAGTGGTATGGGAGATATTTTGGAGGCGATTCTAGCGACAAGAAGACTAATTTAGAGTCCACTGTAGTCATGTAGGGCAATAGAGGATGAGGGCTTACACTAATGTGGAGATGATGAAACTAGAAAGAAGTTGATGCATTCAAGAGACTTATCACAGGTAAAATCAATAAAATCCTTTTTCTGACTTGATGTGGACAGTCAGAGGAGGGGAAAATGGATTGCACAACTGGATGAATAATGGTGCTGCCAGTAGAGAATAGAGGAAGGTGAGTCAGTTTGGGAGGAAATATGATTTAAATTTTGGAAGTGTTTGCAAGGTCTGGAAGATATCCAGGACACAGTAGTTTTTCATAATATATGAGTAACCTCTCCAACAAGACAATAAGTTTCTTTAGGAACTTTCGGAGTAGGTAATTGATAAATTATAAACCCTTACCTCACTCATGTAGAATTTCTCTTTCTTTGTCATCCTCCCATGGACAAGTTGTTGAAAGGAAGCTAATCTTTTGGCATCTGTACATTTTGAATGTTTGTATCAGAAGGAGAGTTTCTTGCTAAGCATAAAGCCATATGTTACAGGAGAAAGAGCATGAACTTTTGAGTCTCACAGACCTAGGATAAAAACCTTGCTCTGTGACTTACTAGCTGTGTGACCTTGGCCAGATCACTTGACCCCTCTGTGTCCCAGTTCACCCCAAGGAAGACAGGGACAAAAATCCCTCACAGGGCTGTTGTGAAGATTAAATAAGATAACATAGGTAAAGTGTTGGTCACATAGTTATGTGCTACGTATCCAACAGATGGTAGCTATCCCCATTATAATGAAAGGGGATATGCTGCCAGTTCTATAAATAGCGAAGCAAATATAAATAACGTTGAGAAGTTCCTGGCAATCCATCTAAATACTGCCATATTTTAGTGTGCTTTATATGTACCTAGTTAAGCCTGTCTAGAGTTACTGTGATTTTTCTCACTTTATAGATGAGGAAGCTGAGATCCAGGAAGTCAGTAGTTAAGGACTTTCCAAGTTCATGCTACTTTTGGAACAGTTGTCAATAGCAAAATACTGTTCAGTTGTTTAGTTACATAATGAGTAGAACTAAAATACTCTAGTAAGATTAAAATACAGGACTAATATACTGTATGTTTCCTTCTGTTACTCCATTTACTATTTTTTTTCTGATTATAACAATAGTATGTATTCTTTATGGAGCACTTGGAAAATGCAAAAAAGTATAAAGAAGAATATAAAAATTACCCACCACAGTTAACATGTTTTTTACCTGTTGTGTGTGTGTGTGTATCTTCTATATGCACACATGCACAAACACACAACAAATATAATGGGACCCTACTGTTTTTATGATTAGCAATCCTTTTTCATTTGAAATTATATTTTAAACACCTTGCAATTTCATTTTATATATTTGGAAATCTAAGTTTAATGGACATATCATGCTGTATCAACTTAAAAATTGTTTTATTCTGTTTCTTATTAGTTCTATCTATGCCAAAAAGTATTGAATGAGTTATTTCTGAGTAGGAGCTCTTTCTAGAAAATTCTTACTTTTTTCTTTTATTATTTGCCTAGATGATAGAGAAAAGCGATAATTACCTTTTCAAAATTTCATCGAGAGCCTCTTTAATTTCAACCCTGATAGATTTCAGTAACAGAGCACAGGTAACAGTTCTTTAATGTTACTATCTATTATAAATAATTATAAAAAATTTTAGACAAGTAGACAGCTTATGATAGCCTGAGATTCCTAGAGAAAAAAACATTTTTCTTAGGTGATGATATGAATGCTGTGTTGCACTAATCCTTTAAGTGAATTATTTTTCAATGTAAAATTACAGAGTTTACCTCTTATTAAATTTTGTGTATCATTTGATAGTAAAAGAGCTGAGGCCGGGCACGGTGACTCACACTTGTAATCCCAGCACTTTGGGAGGCCAAGATAGGAGGACTGCTTGAGACCAGTTTGAGACCAGCCTGGTCAACATAGCAAGACCCCCATCTCAATTTATTTAAGAAAGCAAAAAAAACAACTGAAAGACACGAGTAATGCTTTTTAACTAATGACATGCAAAATATATTTGAAGAGCTAAAAGTTTCAAGTAGAATGCATTATTAGACTTTGGGGTCATAGAAGAAAATTTTAATTTCTGAAACTAAAGCTAACATGATCCATAATAAAATGGATTGGTTATCCATTTATGGTAATGCTTTCAACAAATTACCCATTCAAGAAAGTATTAGTCATTGTTTTAGTAATAATTACAGGGTCCATTCTAAATCTCAGCAAGTGGCCTAGAGAATCTGCCTGTAAAGAAAGGTGTACAAGCATACCTTACTTTATTGCGCTAGAGAGAAGTCACTTTATTGCACTTTGCAGATACTGCATTTTTTACAAATTGAAGGTTTGTAGCAAAGCCAGTCTATCAGCACCATTTTTCGAACAACATGTGCTCACTTCATGTCTCTAGGTTACATTTTGATCATTCTTGCAATATTTCAAACTTTTTCATTATTATTATATCTGTTAGGGTGATCTGTGATCAGAGATTTTTGATTTTACTATTGCAATTGTTTTGGGGAGCCACGAACCACACCCATATAGGTGAGAACTTAATCGGTAAGTGTTGTGTGTGTTATGACTGCTCCACCAGCTGGCCATTCCCCTGTCTCTCTTTTTATCTTTCTCTTTCTCTCTCTCTCTCTCTCTTTCTCTCTCCTTCCCCTTGGGACTCCCTATTCTTTTAGACACAGCCATATCGATATTAGCCCAATCAATCATTCTTCAATGGCCTCAAGTGTTCAGATGAAAGTAAGAGTTAAACATCTCTCACTTTAAATTAAAATATAGAAATGATTAAGCTTAGTAAGGTAAGTATGTCAAAAGCTGAGACAGGCTGAAAGCCAGGCCTCTTGTACCACACAGTTAGCCAAGTTCTAAACATAAAGAAAAAGTCCTTGAAGGAAATTAAAAGTCCTACTCCAGTGAACACATGAATGATAAGAAAGAGAAACATCTGTATTGCTGATATGGAGAAAGTTCTAGCTCTCCGGATAGATGGCCAAACTAACCACAACATTCCCTTAATCCAAAGCCTAATCCAGAGAAGGACCCTAACTCTCTTCAATTCTGTGAAGCCTGAGAGAGGTGAGGAAGCTACAGAAGAAAAGCTGGAAGCTAGCAAAGGTTGGTTCTTGAGGTTTAAGGAAAGAAGCCATCTCCAAACATAAAAGTTCAAGGTGAAGCAGCAAGTGTTGATATAGAAGTTAAAGCAAGTTAATAAGAAGATCTAACTAAGATCATTTTTGAAGGCAGCTACACTAAAAAACATTTTCAGTGTAGATGAAACAGCTTTATATTAGAAGAAGATGCCATCAAGGACTTTCACAGCTAGAGAGAAGTCAATGCCTGGCTTTAAATCTTCAAAGGACAGGTTGACTCTCTCATTAGGGGTGGATGCAGCTGGTAACTTTAAATTAAAGCCAATACTCATTTACCATTCCAAAAATCCTAAGGCCCTTAAGAATTATGCTAAATCTACTCTGCATGTGCTCTATAAATGGAACAACAAAGCCTGGGTGACGGCACGTCTGTTAATAGAATGGTTTACTGAATATTTTATGCCCATTGTTGAGACCTGCTGCTCACCAAAAAAGATTCCTTTCAAAATAGTACTGCTTATTGACAGTGTGCCTGGTCATCCATGAGCTCTTATGGAAATGTACAAGCAGATTAATGTTTTCACAGCTGCTAACACAGTATCTATTCTGAAGCCCATGGATCAAGGAATGACTTTCAAGTCTTGTTATTTAAGAAATACATTTTGTAAGGTGATAGCTGTCATAGATAATGATTCCTTTGATGGATCTGGACAAGGTACATTAGAAACCTTCTGGAAAGCATTCACCATTCTAGAAGCCATTAAGAACATTCATGATTCATAAGAGGAGGTCAAAATATCAACATTAACAGGAGTTTGGAAGAAATTGATTGCAACCGTCAGGAATGACTTTGAGGTGTTCAAGACCTATATGGAGGATGTAACTGCAGAGTGGTGAAAATAGCAAGAGAGCTAGAATTAGAAGTGAACCCTGAAGATGTATCTGAATTGTTGCTATCTCATGATAAAACTTGAATAGGTGAGGAGTTGCTTCTTATGGGTGAGCAAAGAAAGCGGTTTCTTGAGATGGAATCTACTCCTGGTGAAGATGCTGTGAGCATCTTGAAATGACAAAAAAGGATTAAAAATATTCCATAAACTTAATTGAGAAAGCAGCACCAGGGTTTTGGAGAAGTTCTACTGTGGGTAAAATTCTATTAAACAGCATCGCATGCTTCAAAGAAACCTTTTGTGAAAGGAAGGGTCAATTAATGCACCAAACTTCAGTGTTGTCTTATTTTAAGAAATTGCCACAGCCACCCAAGTCTTTAGCAACCACCACCCTAATTAGCTAGCAGCCATCAACACTGAGGCAAGACCCTTTATCAGTAAAAAAGATTACAACTCGCTGAAGACTTAGATGATTGTTAGCATTTTTAGCAATAAATTATTTTAGTTAACATATATACTTTTTTACACATAAGGCAATTGCACACTTAGTAGACTGCAGTATAGTGTAAACATCACTTGTATATGCACTGGGAAACCAAAAAACTCATGGACTCACTTAATTGTGATATTTGCTTTATTGCGTGGCTTGGCACCAAAACTGCAGTATCTCTCAGGTATGCCTGTGGCTTTAATATGTAACATGCAATGAATAGGAAACTGGAAAAATGCAACCCAATTATCATGAGGAAAGATTACAATTAGCAATAATTTTGGTAGTTGAAAAAAAATAACTGCAAAGGAGAGTTGGGTAGTGAAGATCTGTCAATGTGTCTCCAGTGTGCCCATGGAAGTAGGTGCCAAATTGAGCTGGAACATGTGTTTCAGGCTATTTGACAGGTCTGGTCCTACAGAAAACAGTGTATGTGACAGAGACCTACTAGTTGTTTACCACACAGTTCCCTTTTCTTCCTGGGTACAGAATTGGACTATGTTAGCCTTCCTTGCAGGACATGATTTGAGAACTGGCTATAAAATGTGGGCAGAAGTAATAGATGCACTTCTAGGCCTGATTCCTTCATTATCTTCCCCTGTCTTTGAGCTAGATGCAAAAGAACCAGTGAGGGATTCCAAGATGCAGGGGATGGTAAAGCCATAAGAAGGAAGAAGACAGGATTTCCAAGTCATTATTTGGTGGAGAGCCACCTAGGAAAGATGACAGTCAGGAATATCTCCTTTAGACTGTTGCATGAACAAGAAACTTTTATTGCACCAAACCACTATTGATTGTTTCTAAAGTGCAATAATTAGACTCACCTGGCTAATGCAATATATCACACTATCACAATTTAAAGACATCTGTAAAATAATTAATCTACCTTAACTCTTCCTTAATTCTTTTTTTTTTTTTTTTTTTTTTTTTTGAGACAGAGTTTCACTCTTGTTGCCCAAGTTGGAGTGCAATGGTGCAATCTCGGCTCACTACAACCTCCGCCTCCCGGGTTCAAGCAATTCTCCTGCTTCAGCCTCCCGAGTAGCTGGCATTACAGGCAGCTATGTATAAAAAAGTATATATGTTAACTAAAATAATTTATTACTAAAAATGCTAACAATCATCTGAGCCTTCAGCCAGTTGTAATCTTTTTTACTGATAGAGGGTCTTGCCTCAGTGTTGATGGCTATGCCTGGCTAACTTTGTATTTTTTCAGTAGAGACGGTGTTTCTCTATGTTGGTCAGGCTGGTCTCGAACTCCCGACCTCAGGCGATCCACCTGCCTTGGCCTCCCAAAGTGTTGGGATTACAGGCGTGAGCCACCGCGCCCAGCCCTTTAATTCTTACTAAGTAACTTGCTTCCTGGAAAGAGATACCTAATTAGGTGACATGAGTATTCAGATTCACTAACTAGTATATTTTAACTGTGTAAATTAACAAGTTAGCATTCTTAGTTAATCTCTTGTATGTTTGGTTTAGATAAGTAGATCTTCCAAGACTTGGTTGACTAGGGCTGAACTGACAAATTGAGTTTCTAAACCAGCAAAACTGAACCCATAATCATCCAATCAAAGCTTGCACATTCCATGAGGCTTAGCTTGAAAAAATGAAGAAAGTGCTTCCCTCTTTGTCATCAAATACAAAAATACATGCCCATCATTATTTTGGTATTAAATATTTATGTATAATTATCACAGATGTTTAGTAAATCTATTTCTATAGAAACTGACTGGACAGTCTGGATAGTCCAAACCATCCAGAGGACACCCTCAAATCTGGAAGTAAGAGTTGCAAAAACAGCTATTGTAGAGTCCGCACCACCTCCTAGAACTTAGACCCAGCCCAGATCCTATGCACTTAGAAATGTCTCTTTTAAAATATTATGTTTTAGCAAGATTGGTTACCTGACACCATATAACAACCTTCAATCCTTCTAAATGTTAGAAAGCAGTAAATTAAATGCAAACAGGTGGTATGCTACTAAATGTGGATGCATTAACAATAGCCAAAATAGCAGCTGATACTAAAAGATGGAGACATAACTAAAATATATGCAGTTAACCTCTAAAAGTACAGCATTCTGGGGCAAACAACCCTTCATTAAACTAGGACTTTCTGAACTCAGAATGTACGTAGCACCTTGTTGATAATAGGGTGGACAGGAGACAAGAAATATGTGTAGTTTGTGTCATCAAGAAGCTTATAATTTAGTTGAGAAAAAAAAAAGAGAGGCCAGGCGCGGTGGCTCATGCCTATAATCCCAGCACTTTGGGAGGCTGAGGCAGGTAGATCACCTGAGGTCTGGAGTTCAAGACCAGCCTGGCCAACATTGTGAAACCCCATCCTTACTAAAAATACAAAAAAATATCCAGCTGAGGTGGCAGGCACCTGTAATCCCAGCTACATGGGAGGCTGAGGCAGGAGAATCACTTGAACCCAGGGGGCGGACGTTGCAATGAGCTGAGATCGCTCCACTGCACTCCGGCCTGGGCAACAAGAACAAAACTCTGTCCCAAAAAAAAAAAAAAAAAAAAGAAACAACGAAAAGAGAGAACATATGAAGCTTAATAACAATGATTTTGTTTAAAATATAAAGTAATAATACTAGGAATAAGGGCTGATGAAAGTGACAGGATAAAATATACTATATTTTATGACAGGAGATGATGACAGGAGAGATTATTCAGGGTAACTGGAGTAGCCAGAAAATGTTTTATAATAGAGGTTCTCTTCTTTCATTAGAAATTATGAGTTTAGTTGTTGTTTTAACGCCTAAAATAGCACATACAATAGAAATGTAAATAAAAGACCTTGGGGAGAGTCCCACTATTGCCTGAAGAATTTCTAACTAATGAATCATCAAAGAAACCAAGAGGAGGGAGGTAGGACTGGTAACATGAGCTGGTTGCCCATTTAGTACACTCAGGACATGTTCGTCATCCGTGCTCTAAGCTGAGAGCTGAAGATGTCCTTAAACAGGAAACAGGAACTTATTGTACAGCCTAAAAATGGAGCAGACACTTTGAAGTAGAAAAAGACCTCTAGTTTGCTTCTGGCTCAGTGACCAGACATGATTCTGAAGTTTCAGATAAAGGCAGATTTGTCATCAAAGCTCTGTAACTATCAGCCTCTTCATTTATTTGTTTATTCATTCATTTATTCAATAAACAATTATTAGATGCCTGCTGTAGATCCAGAACAACAATAACAAATAAGCTCCATTTCCTCTAAGAATATTCTGTGGGGAGGGGAGACATAGATAGGTCAATAGTTAGAACAAAAAAATGTGTGAAATGTATTGACAAAGGGATACGAAGGAGTGTGAGAACTCCCTGCTCTTTCACTTTCACAGTCATGCTTCTGTCCAGAGCACACGTCTCCTCTACATTCAATTTTTATCACCCATTTATACTCTATCCTTAGCCTCTGAACTCTCAGCCTAGATATTTTTTAGGAATGCTTCCTGAACCCCCAAACCTGGGCTGATGCTTCTATGAGTGCTTTTGGTGATCTGCATTGCCACAGAGGCACTTAGGACACAGCATTATGTCTGCCTGCAAACCCATCCCTAGACAACCATCTACACAAGGGTTAGGATTGCTTTTTTTTTTTTTTTTTGCTCCAGCACTGCCCCCATTCTTATCTCTGTGTTTTGCACATAAGCAATACGTGCTTGAAAGAATTAATCTAGTAATTAAGGATTAAATTTATTATTCCAAATATTCTAAGGAGTACATAACACATATTAGAACAATGTCTATTGTGAACTCTTGAAATGCATTTTACAAAGCACTTGAGTAAGCTTTAGTTATCTGGAAAATTCACTTGTATGGAAACTTCATTCCATGAAAGTGCTGGGTGAATTGTACTAGGGTAGATGAATTATTCACGCTTTCAAACTTGTAAACAGTAAATCAAACAGCTGCCGAGATATTCTTCCAATCCTCAATTAACTATGGTGACCAATGGGGAAAATATTTAGTAATAGTTAAACCAAATCCACTGAAAACCTTCCAGTGGAATTCTAACGTTCTTATTATGTCTTTTACCAGTGCTGTTACACATTGTTGAAAATGTCTTTTTTTTTTCTGTCTTCTCCCTTTTCCTCTGGCAAGTGTACTTATGAATAAGAAAATGGTCAGAAGACCACAAAAGATAGAGCCTCGCATTGAAACACAGCATAAAATACTAAAACAAAGTGGCATTGATCTGGGAATTCTGCAAAAATTTAGAATTTTTTTTGATCACGATATTACAATAATTATTAACATAAATAAGCAAGAGAGAGTTTTGTTGTAATAGCAATCCCTGTGCAGAAGGGCTTCAGAAGGATTTCACCTCTATAATGACAAAGCTGGTAGTTTGTAGTAATAGTAAAAAAAAATCACAAAAACTGTTAACAATAAACGTTTTTTTTTAAAAGGCCCAAAGGTGGAAAAAACATGCTGGATCCACAGAAAAACTTATACACAAATGTTTATAGCAGCATTATTCATAACAGACAAAAGGTGGAAATGATCCAAATATCTATCAACTGATAAATGGATAAACAAATGGTGGTATATCCATATAATGGGATATGATTTGGCAATAAAAAGGAATGAAGTAGAGTTACATGCTATATCATGGATGAGCCTTGAAATCGTTATGCTAATTGAAAAGTCACAAAATACTGCATATACACTTTTATTTATGTGAAATGACCAGAAGAGACAAATCTATAGAGGTAGGGAATACATTAGTGGTTGCTTAGGGCTGGGCATATGGGAGGCTGCAGGCATGACAGCTAAAGGGTATGGGGTTTCTAAAACTGACTGTGGTGATGATTACACATCTGTGAATACACTAAAAAACACTGGATTGTACACTTTAAATAGGTGAATTTTATGGTATGTGAATTATATCTCAGTAAAGCTGTTCTTAAAAGGCAATCTACTGGAAACAGAGTAAAAATTTATTGGCCAGGAGAAATCATACCTCATTAATATTTTAAAATATTTTACATGAGCAACTAGGCATATGTAAATAAAGAATGAGTGATCTACTTTTATCTTCAAGAAGACACAAGTGAAAGTCCATACCAAATACTATTCTAAATCAAGTCCTCATGAAATGGGGCAAAGATGAGTCTGGTTTGTCTTAGAAAAGAAATAGTTTTGAAACACCAAAACAAATACAATGGAAAAAATATAAAAAGAAGGATTCTTTCCAAGATTGCAGCTAAAGCTTGCCTTATCTATTATTTTTTTCATCAATCTGGAATTTCGTGAGAAGGTTTACTTGTTTTTATACAACTCTAACATTTTTCAAGTAAGGAAAAAATAAATCAGTGCAGATAGAACACAAATATATTTCCAAAAAATGGTCTAATTTAATGGGAGCATTAAAAAAATCCTCAGGCTTGTCATATAACAGTTAAAGAAATTCAATGGCTTATCTGATAAAAGAAAAAACAAAAAGGAAGGAAGGAAGGAAGGAAACTTACACATTGATCTTCCAATTGTTGGGCATGCGACCCTTCTCCTTTGGATATGGGTATTTATGATAAATCAGTCAGTCAAGATAAATCATTGAAAAGAATATCTCAAGGTATAACAGTTCTGATTGTAGATGAAGATTTGGAATCATCAATAAATTATTTAAGAGATCACTTAGCTGAAGTTTACATAAGTTCCAGCTTTACTGTTGCATCTTTATACTTATATTAGTTTAATGTGGTACATCAATTCAAAGAAGAAATAAATCAATTAATAATATTTACCTTCTTTTTCTGACCTATTAAATAACACACTGCTTGTTATATTATCTTCAGTCCATTTAACTGGGATATTCCATGTATAACTAAAATTTTTTTAAAAAGAAAAATTTAACTTTTATTACTAAAAGATAAAATTTCAAGAGTAAAAATCACTAAAAAGCAATAGACAAGTATATTTTTCTTTTAAATGATTATCTAGTCCATACTACACAATTAATGTAGTTAATACAACATTTTAGTGATGAAGATAAGCTGTGTAACTGTTCTCAATTTCTATAAATCTATAAAATTTAGAAATTGCATCAAAAATTAGCTAAGCATGAAAAAGATTATTTCAATAACATGCTTTGGCATTTTAGAATAAAGATATTGCATAAATTACACAAATATAATACATCTTATTATAATATTGAACATTCACACACATACTTGCACACAGTCTAATATGCTACCATTTCCATCAAGGAACACAAAACATTTTTAGAAATTAGAAGACAAATAGTAAACTCTGTGAAGGAAATAACACATTTTAGAAATTATGCTGAAAGTCTACCACCACCATCATCCCCTAAAGCCTCTCATACCCTCCCCTAAATATCCCCTATTTAGAACTAGAACTGAAGTGCTCAAGGGAAGAATCATCAGGTAAGCATGTTTCAGGAGTTTTCAGTGCTTCTCTTTAGCTACTTAGTATTTTCCTGCAGAGTGGGTAGGTGGGAGTTAACTTTGTATTTTGATATATACACTTAACAGTTTTGTCTTGAAATCTCATTTTTTTTGGTTTGTTCTTATATCATCTCATATCAGAAAATGCAGATCTGGAGAGAAGGTGAATCTACGTACCATTGGCTGGTTTAGGTTTCAACTCAAAGTTGGTTTATCTGTCAACATTCAATTCCCTAACAGAGAATTAGGGTTAACATTTCACCTTTTCAAGATATAACAAAATGTATGTCATTCAAGGAGAATATATTTTTGCTATATACCTGAAAGAAGTAATCCCTTGTTTTATAACTATTGAAGTGTTTTACAGGATTGAGTTTTTTTAAAATCAGCTCCTTTGGAGCATTTTACTGCAGTGGAATGTTTTTGGCTATACGTTTCATAAAACCAACACATAAATTGCTTCTTGGGCCTTATAGTGGACACTGTCAGTGCTTCCTCCTTATCTCCTTAGACCCCTTTCTCTCTTTTTTTTTCTTTTTAGACGGAGTTTCATTCTTGTTGCCCAGGCTGGAGTGCAATGGCACGGACTCGGCTCACTGCAACCTCCGCCTACCAGGTTCAAGTGATTCTCCTGCCTAAGCCTCCCAAGTAGCTGGGATTACAGGCACCTGCCACCACACCCAACCAATTTTTTTGTATTTTTAGTAGAGACGGGGTTTCACTATGTTGGCCAGGTTGGTCTCGAACTCCTGACCTCAGGTGATCCACCTGCCTCGGCCTCCCAAAGTGCTGGGATTACAGGCATAAGCCACTGTGCCCGGCCCCCTTTGTCATTTTTGTACACCTTGGATACCAGTGTGCTTTCCCTGCCTACAATCAATACCTGGGTCTCTCTGACAGAGGACTGCCTTCCAGCTACCTGAGCAAGGAAAGCCAGAAGTTCCTGGGAATTTACGTCCTTCTGGATGTGGCCCTTAACAGTGAGTGACAGGTGTGAGAATGCTTCCTGCCCCATCCATCAGGAGCACTCTGAAGTATGATCTGCACTGGCTCCAGGACTTTCCTGCAGGACTAAGTCAAAGTTACTCTCTTCAGGACCTGCTTCATACAGCACCTTTGCTGGGCTTCCTTTCCTTCTCTATCCCACTGCCTGCTCCCCCACTGATCTTTCCTGGAAACACTTTCTAACAAGTCACTTTCACACACATGATCATTTCGGGGTCTGCTTCTAGGGACACCAAACTAAGAGCCCTTGCAGCTTCTCAGAAGACCGACAAAGAACATTCCTAAGATGCCACATCTTACCTATATACCTCACTTGCACTGGTCTGCTGAATTGGTGCTGCCATGTAAACTCACATTTTATGCTTCCTCTTCTTTCCCCAATGCCAATCTGACTGAAACAACAGAGCAGGCAGCGTCTGGATGACCTAGGCCCACAGTTAAGGTTTCCTATTTTGACTATCCTCTCTAAAACATGGCCTCTGGGACTACACCAGGCCTCAAAAGGGCAGAAGCTGTTCTCCTAATCTCATGTACAAAAATACTGCTCTGAGGTCTTTAAGAGTATCATAAGATAAAAATGATAGAAAGTTGAGGCTATACAATTTTATAGTTTTAGAATCACATGATCTAATGTAATCTAAGCTGAGTAAAATCACAGACTTGAGAGTATAAAATGTGAAGAAATGGAAATTACATAAATGAAACGATTGAGTTTTCTACATATTGGCTAACATTCAGGAGTATCAGGATTCATTTTTATAGACATAGTTCTTCACTATCTAACCATGTAAGAGGTTCTAGCAGTATGAAATATGGCCACTCTAATTTTCTCTAAGGAAACTGACTTTGATTGCACCAAGCTGACACACTTACTCCCATTCCCTCTGCCTGTTTACATGGAGTGGACTATCAAAGGCACATATGCTTTCCTGAGAGAGACATCCCGGGATGGAGATGTGAAACTGGCTCATTTCTAAGAGATGGTTGAGGACATGGTGTTAAAGCAATAACTTATACATGGGTGAGCCATTTGAATTATAAAAAGGTTCTAGTCAGTAAGAATTCCCTAATCTTGGATTATTTAAACAGTGAGAAAATATTTATAGAAGATCATTGAACTCACAGTACAACTTAACTGGCCACACTGTCTACCAAACAGGAACACATCTGAACAGAAAGTAGATGGAAGTTAGGATTGGAAAAAAAGCTAATTCCTTTATGGGTGCATGAAGGCATTTATTATGATCAAATTCTTCTTTTAAACAAAGAAGAATCCTTTTGCTATAATGGTTCTTTCTTATTTGTTCAGGAGCTACTACGGATTTTTAACAAACTTTCTCAACAGAGAAGAACCTCTTTTCTAAGTCTCTTTTCCTATGCATATATGACTTCTTAAAAAATAAAAATAGAATGAACATATTAACTTTATGATAAGCCATCACAAAAAAATTCATGCAACTAAGAATATAAATAAAATGAAAATAGTATCTGAAGGTGGAAACTGAAGACAAATATTAAAGACAGTATAAATGTGAATACAGTTCTATGTTCTAAGTCTTGGTGAATAAAATTTTAAAATTTACTGTTACAAAAATTGATTTTATACCGTGATGATATATTTAGTTCACTTGGCAGTAAAATTGTTTGGTTTGTGTGAAGAGAAATTCATAACCAACAAGCAGCTTGTAAAAATCCAACCCCATTAATTAAAAAAACTCCTTAGTTTAAATTGTTGACTGTCTTTGGCTTAAATTGTTGACTGTCTTTGGCTTAACAAATTAATGGATACATATGAGAGGAAGTAACAGTTACTGGGAAATTTTCCCAGTGTAAGTTTATTTCTCAAGAGAGAAATACTTTTTAAATTTTAATATCCAGAGGCTCCAGCAGTATTAAATAGTTAATCTAATTTGCTAGAACACAAAACAGTAACTATAAAAGAAACACTTTATAGTTGTTAGCAGAACTACCACAGAGATTATTCTATGATTTTCGTAGTTGAATTATCACCTGAAAACAAGTCAGATCTATGTTTCAATTCATGTATCATGAAGAGGAAAAAGTGAAAAACAAATGTTTTCTCCATCATCATCTAATCTTTCCTTTCTAAAATAAAGGTAAGGAGTACACTTACCTGCAGAGTTCAGGGAGTATACAGACACTCCCTGAAGGGACCTCATATTGGTCTAAGTAGTCAAATTTTCCTTTGTTGTGGTGTGACCTATTGATTTTCAGAACTCGCATTATAGCAGGATACCCAGTTTCTCTGAATGTCACTTAGTGTGGGAGGCTGGGTGTCTGAGGTTTCCAGGAAGAGAGGCCGGAAATGAGCCTCAACGAGTTGAGTACAACGGCTTTCTCAATGCTTCTCCAGTTCAGGTGTCAACTGGCATCTTGGAAGCAGCTAATTTAATAATTCTGAGAGTTCATCATTCTCTGATGCCTTGGAAAGTCAAGTGCTTCGGCAATTTTAATTTTTGGAAACACCTGAGTGTGCTGTAGTGTGACTTATTTCCCCAAGCCCTGAATTGTAATCCAGGAAACAGGCTCTGTTACCCCCCTTATAGAGTACCCATCATGAAATGAGACTATAAAGATCTTTCTCTTCTGAATAAATATGGCTACGATCACTGTGGTGCAAGATGAGAACAATATTCTAAAAGGAGATTGTTCTCCGCCAATTCACCTGATTGAATTCCTTCCACATTGTTCTTTAATTAGGAATTTTAGCTCAATAAAATCTTTGGAACATCTGCCATGCCCTCCAGCCCACAGCCACTCCTACCTAGCCCAGGCTTATTGTTTCCATCAACTATCACGTGGGCTGCTCATTGCAATATTGTCCTAACTGGTCTCCCTGCCTCCACTCCTCCCCAACTGCCCAGGATCTGTGATCAGTTCTCCACAGTGCAGCAAGAGGAGAGCTTTGAAAAATGTAAATGTGACCCTGCCAATTCTCTCCTTAAAATCCTTAAATTTGCATACTATTTTCAAAATCTTTAACATGGTCTGCATACCTGGTTCCTGCCTTCCTCTTCGTCTTCACCTCACACCACTTTTCCCAGTCACTCTCTGCTATCCCGTTTCTTGGAACCAGACTGCCTGGGTTTACATCAAGCCTCCATTATTTACACTGTGTGACCTTGAAATTACTTAATCACTTTTACCACAAATTCCTCATTTACTATAAAATAAAATGCATCTGAAGTGCTTAAAATAGTGCCAACCACTTGGTCAATGTTCAATAAGTGTTGTAAATCATGTGTATAAGACTTTGGGCTTTCATATACGCTGTAATTTCTGTTTTGGGGCGGGGGGTTTGTTCTGTTTTTTTCAGACAGAGTCTCACTCTATCACCCAGGCTGGAGTGCAGTAGCATGATCTTGGCTCACTGCAGCCTCTGCCTCCCAGGTTCAAGCGAGTCTCCTGCCTCAGCCTCCCGAGTAGCTGGGATTACAGGTGTGTGCTACCATGCCCGGCTAATTTTTGTATTTTCAGTAGAGATGGGGTTTCATCATGTTGGCCAGGCTGGTCTCAAACTCCTGACCTCAAGTGATCCACCCACCTAGGCCTCCCAAAGTGCTGGGCTTACAGGCATGAACCACCACGCCCGGCCATAGTTTCTATTTTGAACATCCAGAGAAGTCACTTCCCCACACCAATTTGCTCACCTTAAATATCACATCCCTGGAAAAGAAAGCCTTCTGTGACCCTCCCTGCCCTACTCCACCTCCTGCTTCCCTCTCCCAATTAATTGAGGCTCAGCAAATCAGTGGACTCATATAGTAAGAGAGAATAATTACTGTGAAACTTTCCAAATGGAAGCTTGTTTGACAAGAGACATATTTTTAGATTTAATATCCAAATATTCCAGTGGTTATTAGAGTTGGCCAACCTAATTTGCTAGAACATAGACCAGTAACTATAAAGGAACCAGTTTAGAGTTAAAGACTTTCTAAAACATCTTTTTGTGTTATTCTAATTGCTACAAGATAATTGATCTTACAATAATTTATATATGTGACTATAAAATAATGTCAATGAAGTCATTAAGGAGAAAAAGAAGACAAAGTGTCTCTTCAGTGACAATCAGGCAGTGGAGATTAGAGGACACGTGGGTGGGAACGGGTGAAGATTCTCTCTGCTCAAGCAAAGCATTCAAATGTTGAAAGAGGGGGCAATAAAAACTGGGCATGGGTGAAATGGGAACAACGTCCAGAGGACTAGTGATGTGCTACGCTGCCAGTATCCACTCTAGGAGGGGCTCAGCTGGGTAACCCGGGCTAGGAAGATGTCCCCAGAGTGGTACATCCCAGCTCCTGGGGCCAGGCCCGGGACTGGAGTTCCTGAGATTTTGAATTTGTTTCCTTCAGATGGGAGCAGCTGGCACCCAAGAAATACATACAAAAATAACGATTTAGTTATGCAGAAATGTTTATAGTATTAAGATTTTTGTGCAAGTTGTATTCATGCAGGTGTGATAAGTTTTGAAATCCTCAGCTGTGCTTTGCATGCTTTATCAGCCTTTACAATATATAAAACATTTTTTAAAATTTGAGGTCATCTGCGATGGCTCACACTTGTAATCCTAACACTTTGAGAGGCCAAGGCAGGAGGATCGCTTGAGCTCAGGAGTTTGAGACCAGCCTGAACAACCTTTTCTCTACAAAAACTTTTTTACACATTAGCTGGGCATGTTGGTGAGCACCTGTAGTCCCAGTTACTTGGGAGGCTGAGGTGAGAAAATCACTTGAGCTCAGGAGATTGAGGCTGCAGTAAGCTATGATTTCACCAATGCACTCCAGCCTATGTGATACAGCAAGACCCTGTCTCAGAAAATAAATTAAATAAATAAATACATTTGGCAAAGTAGAGAAAATGACATACTGGAATTGTTTTAATTGAAATACTTAGAAAATCTTAACTCAGTAGCCATATTTAAATGTCTAGAAAAATCCTGTTAAGGGTTTGATTTTTAACATAATGAAAATGTGCAAGAAATTTGATACACTATATTTGAGTTTTAATTTGTTGGATTCATAAAATATATAGAAAAAATTTTAATTAGACTTATAAATCTGCTTCTTTGGTGGTGTTTGTATTTTGAAATTGTAAATGAATTCGGTAAAATTTTAGCTAGTGTTGTTTAGAAGAATTTGGTTACATTTATAAGTTTCTTGTAAGTGATATATCCTTAAGAGGACTTGATTAAGTTTGTAAGTGCTGTTTAAATGCTCAGGAGAATTTAATGTGTGCAATTTGTAGATAAATTCATCACTACTCAAAAACTTAAAAAGTTAGTGTTGAAAAACCACCATCTCCTTACTCACCCTTCCCACAGGCCAGCCCTGCTCGGAAGCATCCCCTATTAAGTGATCTGGTTTTAGTGCTTTTGTAGTCTAATTGGACTTTAAATGCCTCTGTTGTTTTATTTAGACAATATTTATTAACTTACCCATTAAAAGAGGGTGATTGAGCTTATATATATATTACTTTCTCTTCCATTTCTCTTTTAATATAAAATTTAATAAAATAAAATTATTTTTAGATTTTCTGTAGTTTGTAATTGTGCCTCTAAATAATATACTCATACTGCCATTTCTTGCTTCATAAATTTTAGTCTTAACTACTCTCCTGACTTAAATGAGGATATCCACTGGAGTACTGGTAAATGTTTAACACCCAGTTTTCATATGGGCAAAACGTAGTATTTGCTCATTTCCACGTAATACTCCCATCAGGAGCATTTTCAAGCTACCAACATGTCACTGACAAGAAAATGTTACTAAGTTGGGAAGACAGCCGTTCCTGCACACCACTGAAGTAGTATCCCAACACTTTCTCCCACCTTTTCTCCCTCTTCCATGTCCTTTTTTTGTCAGTTGATTTTTCTTGTTACAATGTCAAGACTTTATATTTGCAATTTATTCTGCCACCATAACAAAAATGTTTACATTTTCCATTGGCTGATTATAAAGTTAAAAGTCAATACCTAATATTTATGAAATTATAGCATGTATATTGTATATAGTGTTGGTCAAGGAGTGTGGGGAGATCTATTTCTTACACCATGGTCCAATTTCATGGCCCCTGAGCCACTTAAGTAAAATTTCTCTAATATCAGAGCCTTTTCTTATACTGTATCAATGGCATAAAATCATTCTATCTGCTTCATATTTTTGTTATTTTTTAATAAAGAAGAGAGGTTTAATTTACTCACAGTTTTGTACGACTGGGGCAGCCTCAGGAAACTTACAATCATGGCAGAAGGGGGAGAGGGACATTTTACATGGCGGCAGGTGAGAGAGAGCAAGCAAGAGCAGGGAAAATGGCCTTATAAAACCATCAGATCTTGTGAGAACTCCGCTTCATATTTTTGGATCATAATTTTTATATATAGTCTTTGATTTGGGTTTTTTCTAATTTTCTTTTTTATAGTTGACCAAACGGATGGGCTTTCACCAAATCCTCAAGTTTTTTTCATCTTCCCAACCGCACTACCCACTGGAGAGAATTTCTCTTTTTCCTGGAGATCGCCTACCTCAGCTCCAGTCATCCTGCCCTTACAGGCACTCACAGCACCCTGAGCATTTCCTTTCGTGGTTTTCCTAGGTTGGATGTACCGTTTCCTGGATCCTGTGTCCCATGTATTTCACTTTTTTTTTATTTATTCATATCCTCCCTTCTTTTCTTTCTCTTTCTCCTCCAACCCCCAAAACCCTTTCTAAAGTGCAGCCTTAAGTAACTTTCAAAAAAGTGTTATGTGGAAATCATTTTCTGGGGCTGCATTTCTGAAAGCGTCTTTAATGTACTTTCACACTTGGTTTAATTTTACTGGGTATAGAACTAGAGGCTGAAAATATTTTTTGCTTCAGTGTTTTGGAAGCATTGCCTCATTCGCTTCTTGCATTCAGGGTTGATGTGGAGAAGTCTAATGCCACACTAACTTATGTCTCTGTTTTCTGAAATTTTGTGAGGGTGTATCTACGTATGTTTTGGGGTTTTGGTTTTTCCTGTTTGTACTGTTTACTAAGTGGGGTCTGTTAATCAGAATCCTTGTGTCCTCTATTATGTATTTGATATTATTTGCCTCCAAGTTTCTCTGTTTTCCTTTTAAAGAACGCCTATTGGCTGAGCACGGTGGCTCACACCTGTAATCCCAGGAGTTTGGAAGGCCAATGTGCATGGATCATGAGATCAGAAGATCAAGACCATCCTGGCCAACATGGTGAAACCCCATCTCTACTAAAAAATACAAAACTTAGCTGGGTGTAGTGGCGTGTACCTACAGTTTCAGTTACTCAGGAGGCTGAGGGAGGAGAACGGCTTGAACCCGAGAAGCAGAGGTTGCAGTGAGCGAACATCCTGCCATTGCACTCCAGCCTGGCGACAGAGTGAGAGTTTGTCTCAAAAAAAAAAAGAATCCTATCTAGTCCAGGCACAGTGGCTCACGCCTGTAATCCCAGCACTTTGGGAGGCTGAGTGGGTGGATCACCCGAGGTCAAGAGTTTAAGACCAGCCTGGTCAACTCGGTGAAACTCCGCCTTCACTAAAAATACAAAAATTAGCCGGGTGTGGTGGCATGCACCTGTAATCCCAGCTACTTGGGAGGTTGAGGCAGGAGAATTGCTTGAACCCAGGAGGCACAGGTTGCAGTGGGCTGACATTGCGCCACTGCACTCCAACCTGGGTGACAGAGTGAGACTCTGTCTCGAAAAAAAAAAAAGCCAAAAAATAAAAACACCTATCTGTTGGGTGCTAGACTGTTCATATTTGTCTTCTCTTTTATATTTGCTAGCTCTATGTGTGTTTGCCCTGTATTTTTGGAGGATTTGCCAAATTTATTTTTAGTTGGTCTATTAATTCTTTTGAGAATCAGAAATCTAATCTTTCAGGTTCTTTTGTGTTCTCAATTTGTCCTTTCTAAGACATTCTGCTCCTGGTTCATTGGTGTAATAGTTCTTCATCTCTGAATGCATCTCATACATTTATTTTGTTTCCTTAATTATGCATCTTATAAAGTCAGGAGTTGTTTGTTCACATGAAATTTTAACCTTTTATCCTTCCAAATTTTTTCATGTATCTTGTGATCTTTGTCATTCATATTTAAGAAAGAGTTAAATTGATTCTAGTAGCTGGCGTGTACTCTCTCTATTATCGAGAAGGGATTTTATACATACATATATGTGTATATATATAATTATTTATTTTATTTTATTTTATTATTTTTAGGGATGAGCTCTTGCTCTGTCACCTAGGCTGGAGTGCAGTGTTGTGATCATGGCTCACTGAAGCCTCAAACTCCTGACTTGAGATGACTCAAGTCGTCTTCATGCCTCAGCCTCCTGACTAGCTAGGACTACAAGCATGAACTACCATACTCCAGTGCCTTTTTAAAAATTTTTTGTAGAGACAGGCTCTTGTTATGTTGCCCAGGCTGAAGGGAGTTGTATTTTTGAAGTAAGTTTCTCTGCTGAGCAGAAGGTCTGACTGGGAGCTCTGCCTGTGTGTATGAGGGGTGCTGTCAGCTCCAGCCCACCCATCCTGCAAATAACATAATGAGGGAGGCTTTACTCTGAGAGTCTCAACCAAATGGAAATCCTTAGCTCTCCTCTACTGTTTTAGTCAATTTCTTTAGGAAACAAGCCCACTGTATTTTTTCCTGGAGCCATTGCCAGATTTCTGAGAGCTGTGTGCAGAGAAAGAAATGGTAGGTGGCGGAGAGAAAGTAGGGGTGAGGGGTGGGTCCAGCTGGCACAAATTGTCCTGAGACTAGACTTTCAATTCATTGTCCTATTTCCAGCCTCACTTCTCACTCTTACCCTTCAGTCTTCATGCTAACACTGTACCTAGAACCTGTCTAGGGATAGGGAAGTTCCCTTATTATTATCTGGTTGTATTTTCCTCAGTCTGTATTTCTCCTTCTGCTTTACTTCTTCAGAACTCTGTGACACTTACAGCCCCTCCCTTTATTTTCTTTATTCTTGTAGGTTTATTTCTTTAGGTAATTCCATTCCTCTCTTCAATATCTGTAAAGAACAGGATGCGGATGGATGTGCTCTGCCCACCATTTCAAACCTGGAAATCACTTGGCTATTTTTGAATTCCTTGTTCCCCTAAAGGCACTGTGGCTTTATACTTGTATATCACTCATCCATCATGTACTCAACAATAGGATATAAACAAATTACCAATATTTCTGCCAAATTTCTGTGTTTTTTTCAATGCATTATAGAGCCTTACCCAAGATCTGAAGGGGGCTGAGAAGGGTTAGCTCTTGGGTCCAACAAAAAGCGTTTCTGTGTGATGTTCTTGACACCGTTCACGTTAAGCACAGGATAACCCATCTGTCTGGTCCAGGTGTCCATTACTTCTTTCACTGGTAGCCTACTTGCCTAAGATTGAAAACAAAATGGAGATTAATTAATTAACAAATATGAGAAAATAAAAGGATAGAATAGTTAGATTAGAAAATGATTGGTAAGCCATTTGTAAATCAGACAAAGAAATATTTGGGGACATATACTCTTCCTTACCTCTTCCAGTGCTGCCCAAAAATCAGAAGTTTTTGCATTCTTGAATTGGTATTTTTCCAAGTACATCTGTGTGTAAAAAATAATCAGCATGTTAGAAGTCAATGTTTGCTTTTCTCATACTTTCACAAGATGAACTGAACCCCTGCTACTCAATTCTACCTCCATTGCGCAAAACCAGCCATAGATAACATGTACATGAATGAGCACGGCTGTTGCATTGATATTTGAATTCCATACAATGTTCATGTATCATAAAATATTCTTCTTCTTTTGATTTTTTTCAACTATTTAATAATGTGGAAACCATATTTAGTTTATGAGCCTTAAAAAAAATACATGGATGGTGGGCCAGATTTGGCCAGCAGACAGTAGCTTGCTGATCTCTGCTCTAAGGAAATAAATATACAACCTTTTGAATAATAATGATGATGATGGTGGTGGTGGTGGTGGTGGTGGATGAATTGGGGACATTATTCACTGTAAAGCATAAGTCTTCACTCTTCAAATATTTTAAAGTACAAGTCTTTTAGATTTAAGCTTCTTTTGGCAATTTTCTTTACAAAACCTCTTTCTATATGTGAGTTTTCAAATATAGTGTGATTTATCCCCAGAAAAAATTCCCAGTCTTCTAATCCCGTAACTGGGAGCCACTTGGAGTTTGCCAGTAAACTTTCCTAAGTTCCTGCTGTATCACTCCTCTGTTGCTTTCTAGAATTGTCCTGACTGAAAGTGGAGGTCTTTGATAGAAAATGGAACCATCTTCAGTGTTCTTAATGTTAACTTTGCACATATCATTTTCACTCTAAGTTGCTATAATTTTCAGTAGGTGCTGTACCTAAATCACGTTACCTCCTAAATTCCTCTTCTTTTCAGACATAGAGATAAAACAGTATTAGAAGGACTCCAAGAAGCCTGGAAGAGGGATGAAGCCACTTTGGAATGCTGCCTCCATATTTGTTCTTTTGGTTAATTCACTTCTTGGCACTACCACCAGAGGGCAGGCAAAGGAAGGGAGAAGCAGCAATCACTTTTAGGTATTCATTACAGAAAGTTGCACAAATCATTCATCATATCTTAATAAAATAATTGAATATTTGGTAAATCAAATGTCTAATATTTTTAAATAATAATAATTGAATACTTGGCATAGTAATAGTTATAACCATAGCTGTGTTTTGATGACAATTTCTATTGAATATCTTTTAAAATTAATTTAGAGGAGTTTGACTACTACAAGGTCTTGAGCTTAGAACCATGCAATCGTGGAACTGGAAGGGACTTTAAATATTATTTAATAAAGCTCCCACATTTTGAGGTGAAGGAAACTGCTCTCCCTAACTACCTGGGTGCCTTCAGAGGTGAAGAGATTTGCCTGAGATTATGATGAGGAGAATTCTGAACCCTGGATCAGTGTGTGTGGTTTTCATCACTGTTATTGTTGTTACTGCTTTTAAAATTGCAGTTTCTTGCTTCTCATGAACCACAGGCTGAATGGAAATTTATGTAATCAGCATATTAAAAGGTACTAATTTTATATTGTCTAGATTAGTGCTTTTGAATATTCTATATTAAGACACTTCCCTCTTCACCTTGAATAATCATGTAATCATTCAAGTCAAAATTACACGATGACCTAGGTCACAGTTCATTATTAGTTGGAATCAGTGAGCACAAAAGGAAACGAACAATGTTTCTGTTACTAGTATCCCAAGAAGGGAAAAGACATTTTCCAGCTGACCCATTCCTGTCTTATTGACAGTACTACTGATACTAGAAGAAAAAGAAAGGAAGAATATATTCTCGGTTTCTATTTCATGACCACATATTGTTATGAATGTCCCCTTCTCTATTACATCTTTTATGTACATGTATAGCCTTAAAGATTTTCCAGTTGATAATTTTGCTCTTATTTCCCCCATCCTGCACCTATTTTGCTGTTTGAGGTTGAGTTTGGGGCAAGGTGATGAGCATGAAAGAGAATAGACAAATGGCCAGCCCCAGATTTAGTTCCACACCAGGTTAGCTAATAAAGAGTCACTTTGGGCAGAAAGTTAGTATTTGCAACAGAAATACCTTGAACTCCCATTCATAGCCTGTGGGATTTCAGGGCAACAATCATAGAGTGATGATGACAACTCAAGGAGGATATTGTTGGGATGCTCAAACTATGTGAACTATGGAACTATGTTCCAGTTGGTCTGAGGGTTTATTGGATGTGGTCCATATCGATCATATACTATTTTCAGATATTAGCTAGTGTTTGAAGATTGAAGGAAAAGGGTGTTTGGGTGTTTTGTGTAAATTCATTCCATAGCACTATAATGGCATGAAATATTAATATCTATTCTTCATAGTTCAGTTTTTAGCACCATCTGTGATCACAGTTAAAGGAAGACTTTTAACTTAAGAATTATTAATTTTAGACAAAACCGGTTTTTTAAATTAATTATAACATAGATACTAGGTTAAAGGAAATATGAGAGTTTTATGGAATTATTAGGATAGCTATTCATTTTCAAGGAATCTTAGTACTTCTCTATCAAAGTCAATATGAAAGATTATTTAATTTGAAGCCAGCTCTGAAGATGCCAAAATTGTTATTTATTAATTACAATTTAATTTAGAATCAAAACTATACAAACTGAATTTTAACTTAATTTTTGAAAATGAATCTTCTTTATTTCTATGTCCTGTATAATTTATTATAGGCTATTCACTCATTCATTCATTTAACAAACATTTTCAGGATGACGTAACATGTGTAATTAAACTAGGCCCTGCAGTATGGGTAAAGATATAGAAGACAGAGTCCCTGATTAAAGATGCTTACAATGGGCAGGGCACAGTGGTTCATGGCTGTAATCCCAGCACTTTGGGAGGCCGAGGCGGGCGGATCTCTTGAGCTCACAAGTTCAAGACCAGCCTGGGCAACGTGGCGACACCCCGTCTCTACTAAAAATATAAAAATTAGCCGGGTGTGGTGGTGCCTGTAATTCCAGCTACTCGGGAGACTGAGACATGAGAATCGCTTGAACCCGGGAGGCAGAGGTTGCAATGAGCCAAGATCACGCCACTGCACTCCAGCCTTGGCGACAGAGCGAGACTCTGTCTCAATAACAATAATAATAATAATAATGCTTACAGTGAGGGAATATATGATAACATTTGAGTTTGAAACTTATGGAAAAGTTACAAGATGTTCTCATGATGCAGAAGCACAAGCACATAGCTTCTCTCTTTGCACCTAATGTCTCTACAAAATATTTTACTAATAGACAAAGGGTTAAAATATACTGATATACTTCCAAATATTTCCGAAATCTTGACTTTATTTCTTACTTTAATAATCACCTAGATGTTTCACTATTGGGTAGAAGGGGGCCGTTTTCTTTTAGAGTAGTGTAGAGAGGGCTAAATGCCACATAAGAAGGCTTGATGGGAGTGAGATCTATGTGAATGGTGACCTTCTCCTGGGGAATCACATACAGAAGAAGTACTTTCTGTGGCAGCCAGCAGGGGGCATTTCTCCAACCTGTTTTCTGCTCTCTGGGATGAATACCGTCAGCACTGCTACTCCTGACTACCTGGGTTATCGCAGCAGGCAGGATGTAGGTGGAAGGGAAAGAGTAGGAAGAGAACTTCATTTCTAGGCTGGAATGGGGCCAACCTGCAGAGACGGCAGTTATAGGGACACATTGTAGCTACTTTGATAAAATTAAAAATAAAAACAAACCTGGGACGATTGGCTTAGGGTCTGTTAGAAAAACGAAAATGAAACAGAAACATCTCCTGGAATAATACGCTTAAGTGGGATGTGTGAAATGTTTCAGAAAGTTTATTGTCATTTCTGTTACCAAAAGGAAGCAAGCCTCTTTATTCACTGACTCCATTGTAATAAGCATACTAATATTGATCTTTTCTAATCTAATAATAAGGGAAAAGTCTTGTACTCAGTATAAGGAATGACCTTTATAGATAAATTTAGATGTTTATATCATGTTGCTATGGAAAGAATCGTATTCCCTGAAATTCATATAAGCCCTAACCCCCAGTGTGATAGTATTTAGAAACGAAGCCTTTGGGAGCTGTCACATTTAGATGATATCGTGAGGCTGGGACTCTTATGGTGGAACCAGTATCCTTATAAGAGACACCAGAGTGCTCTCTCTCTCTCCCTCTCTCTCTCTCTGCTATGAGGACACAGTGGGAAGTCTACCATCTGCAAGCCCGGAAGAGAGGCTTCACCAGAAACGGAATCAGCCAGCACTTTGATCTTGGACTTTCCAGCCTCCATAACTGCAAGAAAAATGCATTTCTATTGTTTAAGCCACCCAGTCTATGGTATTTCCTTATGGCAGCCCAAGCTGACTAAGACACATGTAAGGAGTTTCAAAAATAACTAAGTAATCTGTTTCAACTTCTCCATGAGACTTCTGCTAAATGATCATTACAGATACAATGTAGGTACTCAATTGGATGTAAAATCATGTTTTTATCTTTTGCTATATTATCTATGCCTCAGTAAAGAGATTAAAAAGGAAATTATCCTTGATTAATCACATATCTTAACATTCACCAGCCACATATCAATGTAGTTTAATTTTGATATCACTAAAAGTAATAAATCATACCTGACATCCTTTTTGAAAATTCTCTGGTTTTATCCAGTCTTCAAGCATTCTCAAAATAGAAGATCCCTACAATGGGGATAAAAAGACAAATGAAACTAATAAAGGCTATGTAAGGAACAATGATCAGTTATTACTCTTGCAACTAGTATTTCATGATCATATTTGTGAGATTAGTTCCTCAAGATGATTCTGCTAAATTATATGGCTCTATGATTTTAGGATGAAAATACCACTTGGCACAGTCCCTGTATCTATGCATCTAAAATAACTAAAAGGTAAAGAGAAATTGCTAAAATGGCCATCATTTCAGGGACTTCAGATTCAAATAATTATTGCACTTCCCCAAATAAACCAGCAGATGGGGCTTTCTTAATGAAAGAGAAATAGTCTAAAAAATCACATTCTTTGATGAATGAGGAAAGTAGTTTCAGGGTAAAATTCTGCCAACTTATTAAATATATTTTCATATTTGAAAATAAGAATTATATTTAGCAGAGGGAAGTAGATAGTCAAGGAATTATCTGGTCAAATAGCTTAATATACATGGATACATAATTTAGGCATATAATCTTTCTCTTCTCAGTAGTCTATCTCATTTGCTTTCCTTTCATCTGAAGAATCTGATGAACATCTTGGCTCTGTACTTTCTTTTTATGTGTTATAAGGTTAGTACTGAAATGCACAATTTGTAATATTTTAAATCAATTTTCAAGTAACTGAATGAAAAAAGAACACTGCCCCCACTTAAATTAGTAATTTTTATTGTAAGTTATTAAGCATTCTAAATTAATTTTATACCTATTTAGAAAGCTAAAGGCCTAGAAACATTTATTTATCTTGGACATAATATCTTAAACCTGAGGAGTATCTAGGACTAAGGGGAAAAATGATTGAATAAATTTAAACTTCTCCCATGTGAATAATTAGAATAGGCTATAAGTGGATTCGAAATTTTCATTTCGACATAAAGATAAAAGGAATCATTCATAATATCAAAGAAAAATGAATACAAGAAGGCTGAACATACACCATGGGAATCATATGAGAGGGAAAGTCAAAAATATGATGCTAAGAATTTCAAATGCTAATACATAGAAGCTTTTTCACTCAAGTATTCATTTTAATAATTATAATATTTTTGACTCAAATAAGACTTTAGGTATTACTCAGGATAACAAAATGTATTAGCATGCAGTAGCTTCTAAGCATCTCAGTGTAGTGGGAAACCCATGAGAAGCTGAAGTAGAAAATGACTAAAATAAAATTTAAATTATGTTACATACAGATGTGGAATATGTTTGAAGGAGAGACTATATGAAATATTGTGGGACAGAATGTGTCACATAAATCTTGGAGTTACAGATTTCCAGCAACTTTTCATAAAATATTAGTGAAGAAAAAATCCTCACCTACAATATGCTAACAAATTCATCTTTACATCTTCTAAAAAGGAATAAAAGTATTTCCTTCTGAGTTGGATTTAAATGTTTATTGCAGGCATTAAAATGTTCTACTAGGAAAGCTGTGCACATATACAGCATTTCTTGTTGACCACATAGAAGAAAAAGATTTATTGTCTTTTAAAAAATCAAATAAAACAATTTGAAATGTGATGCTTCAAGTCTAAATATTAAATTATCAGAATGAAAATAATTATATACAAATGTGTAAAGAGAAATTCTTAAAAATCTCTTTTAAAATTCTGTGACAATGACCAGCACTAAATTATACTGAAAAGTACAAACTATTGAATATTCAGCACTCAGAATAACTTCTACACTGTTTTCCAAAGCTCACTGGCACAGTGTGACCATTCTTACCATTTTTAGGTATCCACTAAAAGAAAAGTCACTAAACAGGAAGATGTTCAAAACAATGTTCTATTTCTCCCACCTTGCTATAGGATATTCCATCAAAAACAGATGTTATTTCATCAGGGGTTGTCACAGTCACAATAATTGGATGCGAAGACATCAAAGAATCATCCTCTTGAACAGGTAATACATCTTCAAGTAACATTTGGTCACGCTGAAATGAAAGAATGAGCCAAAGGAATATAGTATTTCCTTTATACTAGTTTATAAACTAAAATACCATATATAAGAAAAATTGGAGGAAAATAAATATAAATGACTTAAGTTACTTAAACATTAGGTCTTCAAATTAATCATACTTTGCACTGATTGAGCTATATTGATTTCATGCCCTTCTTCTACTTCTAATTCCTTTTAATTTTCCCCCAGATGACAGGCCGAGAAGACATCAACTTCTGTGAATTCTGCTTCTGCGACTTCTGTGTGACTTTTGGATATGTGCCAAACTTTTCAAGCCCTATTTCTATATCTGTGCAATGAGAATGATGACATCACTCCACAGATTTGGTCTAAGAATTAAGAGAGGTTGCATATCAATTTGCCAAATATTGATGTTCAGGTTTTTCTAATATTAACTTGTTATTGGAATTTGGATACTTCATAATTAATGAAAGAAAATATTGGCAGTTTATCCTTTAGTTCTAATCACCTCTCGTTTCCCTCCTAGGTCTTGTCAGCAATACAGACTGGTTGACAGGCCTAGCAGTACTGTCAGATTTCCTTGGTTCAAAGCTCAGTCTTTTTACTTTCTAGATATATAAGTTTAAGCAAGTTTCCTCACCCATTAAATAGAAGTAATTATGGCCTGTACTTTTTGGAACTGTGCACAGGACTCAGTGATAAAATTCATGGTTAGTACTTGGCATAGTACCTGGCACAGAATGAGAACCTAACCCATTAGCTGCTATAGTTATTTTGACTCTTAAGCAGTAAGATTCTGAAATCTAACTCTGCTAAATCACTACTAACTTTAAAAATTTCATTGGCTCTACTTAATTAAAAATATTTCCAAAACAGGAGTATGTTGTATTGGCTTACATTTTCCAATTATGCGGGTTTCATTTATAACAGGAAAGGTACTGCTGTCAAGTGATGACTGCCAATCAAGATAATTTTGACTTGCATTTTGATTTTTGTATACCTAGGAAGTTTAAGTATGGTGAGTAGAAAGATCCTGTTCTCAGTGTGAGGAAGATTGACTATACCAGCTGTGTGTGTGATTTTGGATTTTGCTACCAGCTGTGTGTGTGATTTTGGATTTTGCTACCACCTATCTCTGTGATGTTGGAAAATTCTATCATTTTCCTGGCCTTCCGATTTTTCACCAGTGAAACGAGGTATTCCATGATTGTGGTATTTATTGAGCTCGCTTATAAAATATCTTTATCTATCTGACCCTTCCATCCACAAGACCTTAAATTGAGAACTCCTTAAGGGCAAGAAGTGTATTTTATTCATTATTCATTTTGGAGTCCTCCATTTGCTGAATGAAGAATGAATGAATGGGCTGGGCTCGGTGGCTCACGCCTGTAATCCCAGCATTTTGGGAGGCCAAGGCAGGCAGATCACCTGAGGTAAGGAGTTCAAGATCAGCCTGGCCATCATGGCAAAACCCCATCTCTACTAAAAATATAAAAATTAGCCAGGAGTGGTGGCGAGGGCCTATAGTCCCAGCTACTCAGGAGGCTGAGGCAGGAGAATTGCTTGAACCCAGGAGGTGGAGGATGCAGTGACCCGAGATTGCTCCACTGCACTCCAGTCTGGGTGACAGAGTGAGACTCCATCTCAAAAAGGAAAAAAAAAAAAAGGAATGAATGAATAGATGAAGGAATGAATTAATTGTTGTGTTGAACGATGTGATTAAATTTCACTTAAGAAGTGCACAGCAAATTCTTCTGGAATTTAGCCATTGCTTTTGAAACACAGTACTTGGAATATTAGACAATATTAAAATGTTATAATTTCTTATAACAGTTTGCTATAAGGGCCTCAGTATACTGTATGGGAGAAAATAAAGGACAACACAATTTTCCATTTATACAGTTTATTTTCAATAAATTATAAAATCAGCAATTTTCCATGTAGATGAGTAGTTTTCAACTGGAGGAGATTTTTGTCCCCCACGAGACAGCTGGAAATATGTGGAGACATTTTTAGTTGTCACAACAGGGGCTGGCAGGTTACTGGCATTTAGTTAATAGAAGTCTGGGATGCTAAGTATCCTATAACGCACAGGAAAGTCCCGCACAAAAAAAGAATTATCTACTCCAAAATGTCAATAGTTCCATAGTTGAAAAAAATCCAGATGTAGATAAGATTTTTAAAGAAGTAATTGTTGTAAATTAGGCTTTTCGCTTTGTAAAGCAGGCTACAGAAACTGTAAGGGCTTCAAGCATTTAACTTTTTTGTTCTGTCCAGTAGAGGGCAGTATTTTACACAGTACAAAACCTCTTGTAATTAGACACATCCACCTATTTGCACATTCATATATGCAATCAAGAATACTCCCATGATATAAATATAAATAACAACTATACCTAGCTTTTCTGAAAAAAAATTTTAGGGTTCATAAAAGTTTCTATTCCAGGCCTCTGAGGGACACACTACCTGTTAATAGTCATTACATGCACATTTGGGAGCTTTTAAGCTTACAAGATAGAAAATAATGTTCTATTTCATAAAGGAGAAAATGGACTCAGATATTATGTAACTTGCTCAAGGTCATATTCCCTGTCATGCATCTAAGAAATGATGTGTTCAGGATTTGAACTTCAATCTAACTAATCTAACTACTAAATTTATGTTATCTCTTCATCACACTGTTTCTGCAATCTGTCTGAAATAAAGTAAGTCGTTCACAAATGAGACTCCGACATTTTTTCAAAGGGTTAGTGCTATAGATACTTTCTGGAACACAGAGTTAACATTTTCTATGCCACCTGTTTTTTTTTTTTTTTTCCTGCCTTGATAATGTGTTTTGAGTGACTCTGTCAAGGATATCCCCAGATTGTGATGATCAGCTGCCCTTCTAGGTACTGGGGCAAGGTGTAGTCAGTGGAAGTCAGCTGGCTCCACCCTATCCTCACAGTGGAATTCCCCGCTCACCACTGTACTTGCCATCTGACTCGGGACCATTATCATAGTCCAAAGGCTTCCATCTGCTTTGCATGAGGAAAAGAGAGATTTCAAGTTTATGTGTTTAGGACTCACCATTTGCCAGTCTGTTTCTGCATGGTTTACTCCCAGAAACTCAAAGAAAGAAGCAAATCCTTCATTTAGCCACAAGTCTTCCCACCAGTCCATGGTCACAATATTTCCAAACCACTGAAATTATAAGCAATAAAGAGATAATTACATTCTTATGGGTATGGTAGAGAGGCCTAGAAAATGTCAAAACATTTATTTGTCCGTGCCAATGTTGTCACTGTGACAGAAGTGGCAGGCATTGTACTTAACATTTATTTCCTGCTTTATTCTGATTATTTAAATGATATTAAATTGTCTTTAGTTTATTGCCTTTATTTAGTTATTACTGGGGTACATAAATTTATATGAAGGCCTCGTGCATATTTCCTAAAGGCAAAACAATGTGGTTCAAAGTCTCTTTATGGCTAAATGTTTATTAGTACCAAGAAAGATTTTCATGCAAGTTTTTCTGAGTTGGCTATTTTTTATTTGCTAAGTCATAAATAATTTGAATTATTCCTGTGGTCTTAAGCCACTTTAAAAAAACAAGCTGATTCAGTGCTAAGATTCTGTACCTGATGCACAAGTTCATGGGCAACCACAGTGGCCACCCTCTGTTGGTTTGATGAGGCTGATTCCTTAGGGTCATAAAGCAGGTTCGTTTCTCTGTACGTGATGAGTCCCCAGTTCTCCATGGCACCAGTGCCAAAATCTGGAATAGCGATTTTATCTATAGAAGAAGAAAGAGTCCAGTGAGAAATACATTCTTTCCATTTGTTCATAGCTTTTCTTACCAAATTAAGTTATTTGGATGAATGTTTTTTAAAAGCCTAAAAATAATTTCTTAGAGTAAAGAACTGTAATCATGTGTGCGAACATTTCAGTCCTAATGCACTCAAAGTTTCCATAGAGCATTCCCTGCTGGCTCCAGATATCAATGCTTTGTTTTTGTTTTAAAGAAGGACACTAATGGCAATGCCTCTATAATTTTATGTCTTTTGTTTCTCTCTGTATTTCATTTTTATTAGCTACATGTGTTTTAGGGGATAAGCCGTGAGGAAAAAGAGAAGTTTTCAAATTAGTATTTAGAAGTTCTGAGCTTCCAAGTGTATAGATACAGTTTTCCATCCAAAGACACAGATTATTCAAGAATATAAAACTCCATTTTTCTCTAATTCTATAAAATATTGATAGAAATACCAATCTAATAGCTTATCATCCGCTTTTATGTATTAAATTGGTTGGAGAAACATGGAGTTGACTATATTCTCTCTAGATTCCCTTACAGTTCTAAAATGTTGGACAGGAGTTTCTATAGTCTTACACATAATATCTGACAGGAGGAGGCAGTGTTGATCAGTTCTATGTTAAATCCCAAGACAGAAAATGCTCAGATGATTAGTGGCCAAAATACAGCTTCCCCAGTTAATGAACTGTAAACAGAATGTAATTTCTTTATTATTATGTATAATTTAAATGAGGCACAGAAATGAAAACAAATTGATTTTTCACTTAACATATAAGAGAAGGCCCTTTCTTTCTGGTTAAAATAAATATTCTTTCTTTTTTTTTGAGACAGAGTCTCGCTCTGTTGCCCAAACTGGAGGGCAGTGGTGCGATCTCGGCTCACTGCAAGCTCTGCCTCCTGGGTTCACGCCATTCTCCAGCCTCGGCCTCCTGAGTAGCTGGGACTACAGGCGCCCGCCACCGCGCCTGGCTAATTTTTTGAATTTTTAGTAGAGACGGGGATTCACCGTGTTAGCCAGGATGGTCTCCATCTCCTGACCTCGTGATCCACCCGCCTCGGCCTCCCAAAGTGCTGGGATTACAGGCGTGAGCCACCGCACCCAGCCAAAATAAATATTCTTAGAGCTTTTTATAAAAGAATGAAGAGGGATGTATCTTAAGTAGAGGTCAAGATTACAATAGTAGTTTCCTTTTCATGTTATCTCATTTTTAGGTTTGGTTATTTTATCACAAGACAGTCATTTCAAAAGTAGAGAAGTATCTCCCCCAAGGGCCAATATTTTTCATAATGTTGTGGAGTGCAGTTTGCACTTAATCCTTGAACAAAAGGAATTTTTTGCAATCTCATTTTTTTTTTTTTTTTTTTGGTCAGTACTGGCATTGTAACTAACTAATTCTTGTATATTTAACTCTTTGGAGTCTAATAAATGCAGAAGTCACCTCTAAGGAGTCTAAGATATAATTAATTCTGAGAGGGTTGAAAATGCACATAAAACAGAATAAAGGAGTTGGGGAGAGGGAGAAAGAAAGAGAGGAGAAGAGAGTAATAAATTTGTGAGATTTCCACTTCTCAGGTTATCCTGGGTGCTACAACTGAGATAAAAGGCAAAGGATCTTTAAATTCATGTGTACAATATTTTATTAAATATTATTCTGATATTTTTAAATTGAGATGAGGTCTTCTGTCACCTAGACTGCAGTGACACAATCATGGCTCACTGCAGCCTCAACCTCCTGGGCTCAAGTGATCCTCCCACCTCAGCCTCCTGAGTAGCTGAGACTACAGGTGTGTGCCACAACACCTGGCTAATTTTTGTATTTCTTGTAGCGATGGGGTTTCACCATGTTGCCAGGCTGGTCTTGAACCTCTGGGCTCAAGCGATCCGCCCGCCTGGGCCTCCCAAAATGTTGGGATTACAGGCGTGAGCCACTGCACCTGGCCCAATATTCTGATTTTGATGAAAACTTGTTTCTTTTTCCAGCTCCTTCTCTAACATTTGTTAAGCAATCAAAAAATAGAATTGTATCCATTGAAGAGACATGCAGCATCTACAAGCTTGCTCTGAGCCACAGCCATTCCCATGCAGAGAATTTTGCATTCCCCTTGTGTGCATTGATAAGTTATTAAAGTAAAGGCAGAAACAGATACAGGGAGGCCAACTGTTGGCTAATTTGTTTTCTTACTGCCTTCATTTCATCCCTACAAACATCTATATGGGTGTTATATTTAAAGTCTTTGTTAATAGCTCTCGAGCTTATTAATAAAGCATTTCCACTATTGATAGAAATGTCATATGCACACCATTTTGGTTGTAGCCCCACTTTTGCTTTATGAAGAATGCATGTCTCCCTCTGTATTAGAAAAAATTATTGCTGGAAGGAGCACCAGTATTTCATTAAACTGCTGGGGAATCTAGAATTTGCCTTGTACAACAATGGAAAGACTGGAAGCACATGGGGCTCTTACAACATCATTTATCCCTATTATTTTTTAACTCGCTGATGACAGGGAGGCAGAGCAAGTATTGGGATGAATGCCGATTTTGAAATCAACTGATCTACGTTGCTATTTGTGGCTCCATCACTACCAAGCTCTGCCATTTTGTGCACATACTTTCATCTTTATTTGGAAACACAAGATTATATATTCATCAGATAAGAACACAGTACAGGCTGGGCATGGTTGATTAGGCCTGTAATCCTAGCATTTTGGGAGGCCGAGGCAGGAGGCTTACTTGAGCCCAAGATATTGTCGGCATAGAATAAAAGGACTTAAGGATAACTGTTAACTGATGGTGACATAATTAGAAGAAATGAGTTAACTTAGATAAAAACAAAGGCAATATTAAAAATAAGAAAATTAAAAAATGATCCTCACCTAATTTAGGAAGAGAATAATTCATAGCAAAGTATTCTTCAAAATAATCAAACACACTTTTAGTTATGTTTGCAGCATATTCGGCTGTGTGCTTTTGCTCTGGCTGGACATAAATTGTAAGCTATTAAACAAAACACAAAAAATTCAGTGAAAATTATTCTTCATTCAACAAAATACAAAAACTGTGATGCATAACATACTTGAAAGAAAGTGGGCTTTGGAGCCAGATATGTCTAATTTGAATTCCAATTCTGCCTCATACTAGCGTGTTGTCTCATAAATCACTTCACATCTCTGAGACTCTGGAGGAATTTTATGTAAAATGTTAATAAAACTTCACAACTCACTAAGTGATTTTAATGACTAGAAATAATGTAAGACACAATGGTTGGCATGATGTCCCAGACATTTGAAAAATGTTATTAATTTTTTCTACTTAGAACATATATTATCTTCTTAAAATCTATGAATTTATCTATTCATCCATCCATATACCCACCTATCAATTTCTCTCTTGCGCGCTCTTTCTCTTTCTCTTTCTCTGTCTCTGTCTCTTTCTCTCTGTGTCATTTGTCCTAGAGGAATTGAATTAATGGGATTTTTCTCATGCAAAGAGCCCCTGAATACGTGTTATCTACTTGTGCTTTTCTATCTAGTTATTTCGAAATAACCCTTTTGATATTCCAACTATTCAGCTCCAGAACCTAAAATATAATGATCCAAACTTTCCCTGAGAGAAAGTCATCTTGGTAAGCTACATCAATTCTCTAAGTCACTACTTTGTGTCCTTATGACATAATTTATAAATCAAACCAAGTACAGATTTTTGTCCCCAATTCTAAGCATGTCTGACTTTATAAAAAATTTTCAAGAATCCTCTTCAACATAGTGTCGTGAAAGTAGATGTGGTCTCTGGAAAAGAATATTACAGGTGTTTAGGCATTTCTCAATATCTGAAAGAGGAAGCAGTACCTCAGACAACTAGTGTCTGCTAAAAGTTTGTGAGAAATTCAAATAAAATATACCTGCTAAGCCTACAACCTGATTCAAAACCCTCAAGGAAAGCAAAAGATGTAATCATTTAGTAAGTTCAAGACCATTTACCTAATTAGAACAGCTGACTCAGGATTTAAACAAGAAAAAAAGAAAATATTGCCCACTCTCTTTATTATTCCCAATGCGTTGCTAGTTTTGGTATTCACTTAGGCACACATCTTGAACCACCTTTTCCTAGAAGCAAAGAACACTGGAATGATTCACGAATATAAAGAACACATTCTGAAAGAGCATCCCTTAAATTACCAGTGCTGGCTCACTATTCTCACATCCACTAGGTAACTGGCATTCTTGCTTTATTTGCATAAATAAAGATGTGTTCGTCTTCACCTCCGAAGACGGCACAACTCACTCAATCATCTCAATACTCTTAGAAGTTTTTTTTTTTTCTTACAGAAGTGATGATACATTTTCTCTAATAGTTGTTAAGCAATCAAAAAGTGAAACTGTTTGGATTACCCTCCTGTCCTCTTTGTGAACAATGACAGGTATTTTTCCAAGAAGTTGAGTGAAACTAAGGCTCCAGTTTTTGGCCATTGAACAGAGTAAAGGGAATTAACCGTCTAAAATAAAAGTCATCACGTTCGTACAGGATTGCCATGTCATAAACCAAGAGTCTCAGAATTTTTCTTCTGTGAACTAATTGGTGTGTCAAAACTCTCAGATTTTCTATCACATCTGTTCTCTGCATTAAAAACTTCAGGAAGGGCAGTCCTCTTGACCCGCTCCACTGTTGTCTACATATTCAGTGCTTTGGTGCTGCACACAACATTTGGTGAGCGAAAGAGAATTGTAAAAGAAGTTGAAAGATCATGGTGAGGTCTCCCACCGTAGGTGGAGCAATGGGAAGGAGACAGACTCAATGTGTTCTTTCCACTAATATTTTCTCATTTCCCATGTCAGTAAATGAACTCCCTTTAAGCAGTATGCTTCTGAGACAATGTAATTCATTTTTCTTTTTTTGTATTTCTGTTGGTGACAGTGGAAGGCAGTGTTTAAAGAAGATTGATGTTAATGTAAATTCAATCAAAATAAAAGCAGTCCCTTCCTCTTTTGTTTCTGAGAAACTCAAGTCCATAGAAATATGCTCTGTCTTTGCAGCCTGGTCAGTCTGCAGATCATCTGTGATCTATGACCCTTCATAATCAGGGTCAGCTCTTCACCAAGCAGGGACCTCAGCTCAGGCCAGCAGTGCAGTGGCCCCATCCCCTGGCTGAACATTCCCAGTAGCAGCAGCTCTGCATTTCTCTAAGGTGGATCTCCCAGAGGCAACTGAAAGCCCCTCTGCCATGGCTGCTGCAATGGTACTGCCCTTGCTGCCCTTGGACTAGGTATGGATCAAAGACCCTGAGTGCTTTAATCATATCTCCAGTAAGCTGCAGCCACCCTAAGGAAAAGAAGCCAGTTTGTCCCAGCCACAACCCCCTGTTACCCCTGCTCATCACCAGGCAGGCCCTTGGCTTGGGCCCACAATACAACCACCTGACCCCGGGCTGATTGCACCAATTGGTAGTGGCTCTGCATTTCTCTGGGGTGGAGTTCCAAAAGACCGGTGAAAAGCCCTCTGCTACAGCAACTGCCAAGGTCCCTTCCCCTGCTGCCTCCAGGCTGCAGAAGGAGCATAAAGCCTGAGCTTGCTCCAAGGCTGTGGTGAGCAGCCCAGGAGTGCCAAGCTGAGATCTGCAGCCAGTACTTGAGTTGGAGAGGAGCAGGCAGTTTCAGAGCACTGAGAGAGAGCACAGCTGCAATTAGGAGGAAACACAGAGGAGCCTTGTGGCTGAGCAAGAGCCTAACTACTGGCCATTATGCTTAAGCACCATCTACTGGATCATAGCCCAAACTTCAGCACCAAAAATACTTTGCTAACATAACGCCCCTGAGAAACAAAGGACATGAATTCAGCGCAAATAATGACCCAGCACAAACACTTCGTCCTCTGAAAACATCCAGGAAAGAAATCAACTGACTGTACTCAAATTACAGCACAGTTGAGGGAACATCAGCCACCACAGTTGAGGGAAAGTCAGCCCACACAGATGAGAAAGAACTAGTGCAGGATCTCTGGCAGCTCAAAAAGCCAGACTGCCTTGGTTCCTCCAAAGAACCACACTAGTTCCACAGCAAGGGTTCTTAACCAGACTGAAACGACTGAAATGATAGCAATAGAATTCAGAATATGGATAGGAAGGAAGATCATTGAGATTCCATTGAGAACCATTGAGAAAGTTGAAACCAATCCAAGGAAACTAAGGATTACAATATAACAGTACAGGAACTGAAAGACAAAATAACCGTTATAAGAAAGAACCAAAATGACCTGACAGAGCTAAAAAAAACACACTACAGGAATTTCATAATGAAATCACAATTATTAACAGCAGAATAGGCCAAGCTGAAGAAAGAATCTCAGAGCTCAAAAACTGGCTCCCCAAACTAACTCAGTCCGACAAAAATAAAGAAAACATCCAGTTCATGTCCTTTGTAGGGACATGGATGAAGCTGGAAACCATCATTCTCAGCAAACTGTCACAAGGACAAAAAACCAAACACTGCATATTCTCACTCATAGGTGGGAATTGAACAATGAGAACACTTGGACACAGGAAGGAGAACATCACACACCAGGGCCTGTCGTGGGGTGGGGGGAGCGGGGAGGGATAGCATTAGGAGATATACCTAATGTAAATGACGAGTTAATGGGTGCAGCACACCAACATGGCACATGTATACATATGTAACAAACCTGCACGTTGTGTACATGCACCCTAGAACTTAAAGTATAATAATTAAAAAAAAAGAAAACATCGAATAAGAAGAATCAATATTGTTAAAATGGCCATACTGCCCAAAGCAATTCACAGATTCAGTGGTGTTCCTATCAAACAACCAGTGATAGTTTTGACAGAATTAGAAAAAAACTATTTTAAAATTTATATGGCACCAAAAATATAATTGCCAAGGTAATTTTAAGCAAAAAGAAAAAGCTGGAGGAATCACATTACCTGACTTTAAACTATACTACAAGCCTATAGTAACCAAAACAGCATGGTACTAAGACAAAAATAGACACACAGACCAATGACACAGAATAGAGAGCCCAGAAATAATGCCATACACCTGCAACCATCTGATCTTCAACAAAGTTGACAGAAAGAAGCAATAGGGATAAGACTCTCTATTCAATAAATGATGCTGGGATAACTGACTAGCCGTATGCAGAAGATTGAAACTGGACCCCTTCCTTACACCATATACAAAAGTCAACTCAAGACAGGTTAAAAAGTGTAAAACCTAAAACTATAAAAACCCTGGAAGATAACCTAGGAAATACCATTCCAGACATAGGACCTGGCAAAGATTTCATGACAAAGATGCCAAAAGAAACTGCAACAAAACCATAAGTAGGCAAATGGACTTAAACTAAAGAGCTTCTGCACAGCAAAAGGAACTATCAATAGAGTAAACAGACAACATACAGAATGAGAGAAAATATTTGCAAACTATGCATCCAACTAAGGTAAAATATCCAGAATCTGTAAAGAACTTAAATCAGCAAGCAAAAACAAACAACCCTATTAAACAATGGGCAAAGGATGTGAACAGACACTTTTCAAAAGACACTTTTCACATATGGCCCACAAGCATATGAAAAAATGCTCAACATGACTAATCATTAGAGAACTGCAAATCAAAACCACAATGAGATACTATCTCACCCAGTCAGAATGGCTATTATTAAAAGGTCAAAAAATAACATGCTGGCAAACTTGTAGAGAAAAAGGAACACTTATACACTGTTGGTGGGAATGCAAATTAGTTTATCCATTGTGGAAAGCAGTTTGGCAATTTCTCAAAGAACTAAAGCAGAATTACCAAATGATCCAGCCATCTTATTACAGGATATATATACCCAAGGAAATATAAACTGTTCTGCCGTAAAGACACAGGCCTCCATACGTTCATCACAGCACTATTCACAGTAGCAAAGACGTGGATGGAATCAACTTATTTTCATCAACAGTAGACTGGATAAATAAAATGTGGTATATATACAGCATGGACTACTTCACAGCCATAAAAAAGAATGAGATCATGTCCTTTGCAGCATCATGGATAAAGCTGGAGTCTTTTATCCTAAGAGAACTAGCATAGCAGCAGAGAACCAAATACCACATCTTCTCACTTATAAGTGGGACCTAAACATTGAGTACTCATGGACCCCAAGAAGGAAGCAATAGACATCAAGGCCTACTTGAAAGTAGAGAGGGAGGAGGGTGAGAATGAGAAAACCACCTATCGGGCACTATGCTTATTACCTGAGAAGTGAAACAATCTGTACACCAAACCCCTATGACATGCAATTTACTATATAGCAAACCCGTACATATACCCCTGAACCTAAAATAAAAGCTTAAAAAAGAAATATTTTACAGAAGTTACCATAAAAAAATCAGGTCATAGATTTTATTCTATAACTGCTACTTTGATCAACAGAGCCAAACAATCAGAGAATATATAGCTACAGCCCATTAATTTTGTAACATATTAAGCCAAAGCATAACTGTGTCTTAACTACCATATATCACAAACATTTTTATATTAAAGACTCTACCAACATGCCAACATTTTCTGTCGTTTAAAGCTCCAACATGGTTTCTGTAATCCGTGTAACAACAGAACATCTGTGATGCTTGGATTTGGTGATTTTGAAAGCATCCTCCCTTGTGCTGATGCCTTCACTCATCCTCACCACACTTTTCCCGCTCTCTGACCCCACCTTTAATGTATGCTCCATCTGCATCTCCTTCTCCTCTCTCTGGGCTTTGGCAGAGGTGACTGACTCTCCCCTATCATCTGCTAAGCCTCAGCACTTCTGTACATGATAAAGTTCAGGCAATTACCCCTGACTCGTCATCATTATTTAATAATTGACATTTTTCTAGTTTATGTGCTTGCTTTACTGAGATGATTTTTTAAGCGTGTGACAACCCATACTGAAATAACATGGAGTGAGGAGGGATGCATACATGTATTTTCTTTCTTCTTTATCTTTTAAAAGAGTCATATATGACTTTTTAAATGTAAGAACCCTATTAACGTTTAAATATAAAGTTCGTATGTCTACTTTATCACTTTATATGTAAACATTATATATAAACATAAATATGAAGTTTATAAGTCTTCAAGAACCTAACTTTCATGCATATATTTACTTTTTGAAGACAGTAACTTCCCTAGGCAAATTAAATTACCTGGTATACTACTGTTGGATACCATTAGTCGTCTTTCAAAGCACTGAATCTATGGAGCTAGTATCAGTGGAAAAACTTTGGGCTTTATACAGCCTTATTCAGCTGATATTCTTTTGGGAGGTAAGACATATCTGCTTTAACATAGCTTTTGCTTTTCCCTTATCATATTGGAGCCTGCTGTAATGTAGGCTCTTAGAGTTCTTAATGTTATCCCTTTCATTCAAGTGTCTCAAACCATTTGAGAGATAGAACTTAAGTCCATGAGAATCGATTCCTGGTTGATTACCATTACTTCCTTTACGTGTCCCTTTGCCACACTTGACTTCACTTGACAATCATGACTAGATGCATTAGATCAATCTTCCTTGAACAATTTAATGAGGCTGTGCACCATCTTTATCTTCAATGATTATTTATGTCCCTGCAACCAAAACCAAGCACAAAGCTCAGCGATAGTATTATGATTACTTATTAGTCTTATTATTGAGAACTTAAATTTTTTCAAGGAATGTGATAAGCATTTTCCATGCAACATTTCTTTTACTCCACACGTCAATTCTATGAATCCAGAATTATTAATAATAATAGAAAAAATATTTTGCATCACTGATAATTACCCCAATCCGTTCACTGGTCCAGTTCCCACAACCCCTAATCCACACTAATAAATCCAATGAGTTCTAAAACTTTTTATATGTTTAAGCAAACTAATTTGGCAATATCATATGACCTGAACTGTTAAGAGTTTTTCAAAAATCTTTATTTTTCTCACTATAAAAAATTGCTGCAGAAGTATCACTGATTATAAGACATTGCCCCAAATCCCACTGTAGTTAATCATTAACATATAGTATTCAAACTACATTACCTTTCACAAATCTGAAAATTTCTGAATTCCAACATACAACTGGCCATGAGGGTTTGGGACAAGGATTGTAGACCTCTATTTATAATTTTAGAGTTTGAAGGTGATTTGAAAATAAACTTCCTCATTGTATACATGAGAAAAATGAAGTCTAAGACAGGACCGACGCTAGAGTTCAGGACAAAGTTTGTTTTCACATATCATGCTGCCTATTTTCTCTACTTATAAGACTGAATCTTGACCTCCCCAGCTGTAAAATAGATATAACAACAGCACTTATGTCATAGGGTTATTTCGAGTATTAAATAACACATAAGCAATGTTTGACATGTAATAGTTCTATGTGTCCCATCAAAAGTGTTAGTATCATTAGAGATAATACACTGAATTATTAACCTCTGTAATTTTCTGTGTGCGTACTTCCTTATATGTGATTGATACTTACACTATGGTGTCCACATTGCCAGTAAGAACATTGAAAAATGCAGGGGAAAAAAATAAATGTTATGGTTTTGACTTTCAAAATAGGCTCTTGATGCCCACACAACACATTTAAAAGCCCAAACTTTTTGGATTGTAAGGGCCTGGTTTCAAAAGACTTTTAGCAATAAAAACAGAAGGCCAGGAAAAAAGCAAACCACAGGGTTTTTAACTCTAATAATAATTGAAAAGAGAATAAAGAGATGTCCAGGCTACTCTGTCTCAAAAAACTAGACAAAATTTACCTGGGCCAGGGAAGGTGAGGGAAGGTTGAAGGGACAAGACCTGAAACAGACCCTGAAAGAGTGTGAGGGGACTGAGATGAGAACCTTGAACTTGGAAAGACCATGGAACAGAAAAGAATCAGCTTAAACAGACTGCCCGTTACCACTGCCACCGTCACCTGGGTCAGAAGCCAGGCAGGGCCCTGCATGATTCCACCTGGAAAGTGCCGCAGCCCCGCTGTGCCCTGGATCCACATCCTTATTGTCCTTGTCTATTGAGTGTTTTCTATTGATAGAGGTGACCATACATTCAGGTTTGCCCAGGAATGTCCCTGGAATGTAAATCTGTTGCTTACCTGTTTATACGTCTTGTTCCAGCTTAATTAATAACACCTCCTCTATTATTTATTATATATATATTTATAGATGATAAATTATATGGTCACTCTACTTATTGACAGCAGCCTGACTTTTCACTGCTGATCATCCCGCAGAAGTAGCACCATTTACCTCTTGAGGTTTTTTTTGCAAGGTCTCATCTGAGCTGTTCCAAAGAGCCACATCATTTTAAATGACGAGCATGCTTAAAGGATCCCCCAAAAACAAGCTGAGATCCTTGGCACTCAGGGCTAGTAACACCAAGAAAGACCTGAAAACACACTTGGGTGGCACAGGGCAGTGGTGACTGTATCTGGTGCACATCTTAATTGAAGTACAGATATCAGCATATTTCACTCTCTTCAGGGTTTAGCATCCTCCAGTGCACATAGTAGATGCTCAATAAAAATGTACACAATAATCAGTTTGAAGAAACTGTTTCATTATCAATACTGAGGTAGCCAGGATGAGAAAGAGAAAATAAATCTATATTGTTTTTAAATATATAAATGCATATTTAAGGTACATAGCTGGTATTACTGAACATGCCATTAATGTGTTAAATTTTATAAAGTTTATGTTCTTTTAAATATTCTTCCAGTAGTAGGTGGAAAGTTAGCAGAGGAGGGTACTTAGTTGAAAGGAATAGTGATACATCAGTTTTTTTCTTTTTAAGTTCTGCCTTATCAATGTGATATATTCTTTCTAAATTTTAGTTTGCTCCTTCCTCATAGATAAATTAGTATGAATATGCAAAACCTTGGTTTGAAGTTTAGGTGAAAAAACACCTTTTTTTCCGCTGTAGCTATGCTGGTTCAAAACATGTTCGGACTCTGAGTCGGAACTCACCTGCTATGAATTGCTGTTTAAGAAGAAACTCAGCACGGCCATTAGGTTACACAAAGCATTTATTGGCCACTTACTTTCCATTTAAGTTAAAATTTAAGTTGTCTGATGCTTAGTGATTATTACTGCAGTATAATTTTTAAGAAATTAAAAAATGAACATTAAAAAATCTAAATTACCCCATAAAATCTTACATTATTTTTATTATTTTGTTTATATTTTTGTAAATTTAAATAAAAAATAAGAATCATTAGCAATCCTCCGTGGCTTACTAAATTAAACAGTTTCCTTCAAGGGAGATTAATAACCTTCCATTTAAAGATAACCCTTCCAGTAAAGAAATTAATTAAAAAAAACTAATTAAAATGTTCTAGAAATCAAATTCATTCTGAAAACTTAGCAAAGCCACAGCCAAAATAAGTTTTTAAAATAATGAAATGACCATATGTCAAAAATAATTCTGAGGAAAACAGAAAAATCACCTTTAGAACACCACAATAACAGTTGTTGTGGACATCCACTGGGGAATGCTACAATAAGTGGTCAAAACCTGAAGAACTAACAGGATATTCACATAGCCTTTAATTATCACTCCCTAAATATTTATTAATCACTGTGGTGGTCATAATGTATATCCATAAATTCTTTGTGACTCCTCCCTCCAGGAAGTAGAGCTTAACTCTCTTCCCCTTGGGTGTGGACTGCATTTAGCGATTGCTTCTAAAAAACAGAAGATTGGAATAAAAAACTAGTAAACTGAAGCAGAGAAACCTAGCAGACACCATCTCAACCAAGTGATCAAAGTTAGCATCACCAGGAATAAGTCATGAGGATGTCATGTACCCCCTGATAGGATGTGATGAAAAGGACCCTTCACCTCTGTGGTATTCTCCAAAATCCAAAGCCTCAGTCTAATCTTGAGGAAACATCACACAAACCCAAACTGAGAAACTTTCTACGAAATACCTGAACAGTACTCTTAAAAAGTGTCAGGATCATAAAAAAGAAAAAAACTGAGAAATGTCATATATCAGAATGAATTAAGGAGACAGCATTGCTAAGTATAATGTAGATGTATCATCTATTGGATTTTGGAATAGAAAAGGCACATTAGTGAAAAAACTGGTGAAATCCAAGTAAAGACTGTTGTTTAGTTAATAGTATTGTATTACATTGATTTCTTAGATTTGACGAATGTTTGATAAATGGTTATATAAGATATTAACATTAAGGGAAGGTTACATGGAGACTCTTGTGTCTTTGCAACTCTCTGTAAATCTAAAATTATTTCAAAATAAGAAGTTTAAAAATATATCTCTGAGCATTAAAGCAATGAAACTTAAAAAATAAGATTATTTCTATGAAGAGAAATACATAAATCAAAGTCTATGGCACAAAACCTAAAACTGTTATAAAGATAGGCTGTTTTTAAAAATCCATGGCATATATACATACATACTCTGCCTTCAGCCTATCTTTCTAATCCAGGCAAACAACGGACTAAGATGGAAGCAAGTAAGAAGACACAGACAGTAGGAAGAACCCATTCACAGAGAGAATCCTAGATGCAATTATTCAGCGATCATCCTGTAAGATTTTTGGAAGAAAGTACAACATAATCCCTTCTACTGATATATTAGAATTAATATGGTCATAGTACAAACCTAATTAAATGGATAATATCTTCCACCAGCATTCCCTTAGTGAATAATTCCTCCCAGCTTCCCCCTCTGTTCAGGAAAGCCAAGGAAAACTTGACTAGAGTTGAAATAATCTCCAACAAGGTAATTTCTTGTTTTTGCACATACTTCTTTATAAAATACAGATGCCAAATGCCCCCAAAGAAATTCAAGGGCTCCTGAGATTTTTGTTTCTCAGGAACGAAATCACTCGTGCCATTTATTATTTATTTACTTATTTATTTATGTATACTTTTGAGACCGAGTCTTGCTCTGTCACCCAGGCTGGAGTGCAGTGGCACCATCTCGGCTCACCGCAACCTCTGCCTCCTGGGTTCAAGCGATTCTCCTGCCTGAGCCTCCCGAGTAGCTGGGATTACAGGCACACACCATCACGCCCGGCTGATTTTTGTATTTTTAGTAGAGACAGGGTTTCACCATTTTGGCCAGGCTGTTCTCAAACTCCTGACCTCAAGTAATCTGCACACCTCAGCCTCCCAAAGTGCTGGGATTATAGGCATGAGCCACCGCGCCCGGCCACCATTGCCATTTAACTCGTCCTGAATTTGATTCCTTAAAGAATCATGCAGAGCGAAAGCATTCTGGGAAAGTTACTGTAGGTCAACTGTACCTCAGAAAGCAACACAAACCTAACAACTTCAAATGATTTTATATATACTAATACGGGGGATTTTCCTTTTTCCTACTTTGCGTTTTCCAAATTTTCAATAATGTACATGAATTAAACCTATAATTTTAAAAACTCAAAAATATATTTATAATGTACATTGTTCTTGGTTTGAAAATGAATTGCAATAAATTCCAATGGGGAACTTTGTGCTGAACTCTCATGTTCATGACATGCTTATTGGGGATATTGTTTCCTCTCTGATGACTCCTGCAGGAACAATAGGATTACATTTTTTTTAAACAATAACTCAACAGTTTGTTCACATAACTAAAAAGTCATATAATCTCTCTATACTATGCACAGTTCAGGGTGTGTCCACTTGTTTGTTTTTCTGGGGTGAAATTCAGTGATTTCATTTACTTTAAAACCCTAATCAATCAACTAAACCTGAAGAAGACCTCAGGAGTAGATTTCTTGCAGAATTGTAAAAAATTCCTTCCATCAGTGGCTGGCTTCAATTGTTGCTAAACTATTCTAAGTAACTCTTCATGTTACTCTGTTTAGCATTGAATCAAAATGCAATGCAATTAATTTAAAAAGAAAATATGAAGAGTGAAAAGACTTCTGAGCTACCTCCAAAACCAATTTAATTTTTCTCATGAGCGACAAGGATATTTTAAACATAATGAATGGCTCAACTCTAAAGTCTGCTGTACTCTCTCCAACTAAACTATTAAGAATGCAGGCATTGATTCTGTGTTTATTGATATAAAGGAACTATTGTCAGAGAGGTGAATATACCCAAGCAAGTTGAATCAGGGCATTATAGATTCTTAGATTGCATAGTATAATCTGATTATGAATAGCAGGTGGTTAATGTACCAGAATAATACTGTCAGAAGAAGAATGGATAAGAATAGTCACCTATTAATGGTGTACATAACAAATACATGGCTTCATTTTTTATTTTTGTTTTTTACTAAAAAAGTAATAAAGGACTTTGGGTACAGGTGGTACAGTAAAGGGATGCTTTGATGCACCCCACTAATCCTAATACTCAGAAATTAGTGATAAAATATAAAAATGGGAACAAGACATAAGGATCGGAAGCTATAAGCATATTGAGCTCCAGTTTTGGAAGGAATGGGTCGGAAACAGGTTCCTGGGGATCAGACCCAAGCCATGCTTTGGAAATCACGTTCTAAAACTCTGACTACTATTTCTGATCGTTTTCTCGTCACTTTTTGGTTTTTCTTTTATGACTATCATATTCTTGAATTTTTGAATACATTAATTAAAGGTTGTGTGTGTGCATGTTTAATTTTGTTATGACTTTTTCGGGATTCTCTTTTGTTTCTCCAGTTATCACTATTTACTCCCACGGTGTTTCTATTTGTCTTGGATGTTTTTCTTTTATGTTACTTGTTTTCCTCATATACCTGGTTATTCTTAGCTTGTCTGTTAAGTTCTAAGAATGTAGGACTCTGAGGCTGGTGTGAGTTTCCTCTGATGTTACATTTCAATAGATTTAAGTAGGTTGGTTTTTCTGTAACTCTCTGGAGTGGGAAATCATACCAGGAGCAGTTTGTACTTGGGTGGGTGTCAACTATTAGATTTCAACTTACAGTAAGTGGGTAGGGAGCCAGGAGGGGAACCTCCCAAATGCCAAAGAGGAGGAACTCACTGTGGAGCATTTGCATTCACACTAGATGCCTTAAATTTCTCCCATTAGGTTCTGTTCAACTTTTAAAGGAAACGGCCCCACTGTTTTTTCAGGAGGGGAAACTCTGGCTGCCTGTCTTCTATGGAAGGGTTGGAGGAAGGGGAAAGTGGCATATCTCATTTTCTTGTAATTTTTCTGGCTCAGAGCCTCTGAGAAGTTTCAAAAGGGAATTTGGCTTCTGTTGATCTCTTATAAAATAGATGATTGGACAGTAATGTATTAAAACAATATTATGTTTGTTTCCCTCCCAAATGATGGAATGCATCACTTATTTAAAACAAAATGTTATGCTCTTAGTTTTCATAGAAGAACCATTTAAGAAATAATTACCACCTACAGGACATTTTGGGATCTTTTGCAAAACTGTATTTTTTCATTATATCACTTCAAATCCTTTATATAAAATCCATCCTAAGAACCCAGCTAACTAACTGGTACAGGCTCTAGTGATTTACCTAGTTAGTATAATATTACAAGTAAATGTCCTTGGTCAGAGGACCTGGTGATAGAGTCATATTGGAAATTCAAGCTCACTGTCACTATTAGAAAATAACTCCAAGTACTATGTCCTCTGCTGATTGGTTAAATGCATTGTTCTTACCTATGAGACTTTGTCATCTTTAGTACAATTGCTTAGCCTTTCTGTTTCCTCTTGGTATTTCTACCTCAAATAGAAAAATTTGCTCAGAATGTAATAATAATTTTTAAAACTTGGTATGGGAAACACCTGCACATGATGAAAGACAGTCATGCAATTGAATTGTCAATGATGAAGAAAGCAGCTTCAGATGAAAATTGCATGTTTGTTATGAGACGGAAAGAAAAAACCAAGCTTGACTAATGTTCTCACCTCTATATTAAGCAAGAGGAATGCCATCGACTGCACTCAGCACAATCTAGAAAAAACAACTTCCTATTTCTGATGCCATTTCCTTTTCATACCAGTATTATCTATCAGCCACTAGTAGTTCCCTTTACCACGACTGAAGGTTGCATCAAAGCAACCTATGTGTCAAGGAAAAGTTAGAATACGGATGAGTCCTCATGATATGCAGCCCCTTTGAAAAGGTCTGTGGACATCCCCCACTCGCTATAATTTGTATACGGTATAGGCAGCATGCTGGCAACCCAGGTTGAGGACATCTGAATATCAACTCCTACCACACCAAAGCAAAGGCAAATTTTCCCTTTGTTCATTTCACAGAAATAGAGGAACCCATCCCCTCTCCTCCAGTGACTGATGAAGAGGTAAAGATATTTTCAGAATATCACACATCAGAAGGCTAAGCAAGATACAGTATCTGGAAGGAGTTTGGAATTTAAGTTTCTACCACTTGCCAGCTGGGTAATCTTGAATAAATAGCCTAAATTTATTAAACTTCAATTTTTCTCATCTCTAAAATGGGGGTGATGATTTCCTCCTTATAAAATTATATTGCAAAGATGATGAGGCTTTATATATATGACATATATGGCACAGAGGTGAATTAACTGGCTTACTAGACAACCTAAACATATGTTCAGGATATAAGCAAAATGGGGGCCTCCAAAATGAAAAAATTAATTAGGTAAAAGTATGTGGTTCTTCAAAAGAAAACGATTGGGCCAGGCTCGGTGGCTCATGCCTGTAATCCCAGCACTTCAGGGGGCCAAGGCCAGTGGGTCACCTGAGGTCAGGAGTTAGAGACAAGGCTGGCCAATATGGTGAAACCCCGTCTCTACTAAAAATACAAAAATTAGCCAGGCGTGGTGGCGGGTGCCTGTAGTCCCAGCTACTCAGGAGGCTGAGGCAAGAGAATCACTTGAACCCGGGAGGTGGAGGTTGCAGTGAGCTGAGATCGTGTCACTGCACCCTAGCCTGGGTGACAGAGCCAGACTCCGTCTCAAAAAAAAAAAAAAAAAAAAGAAAGAAAGAAAACTATTGAACTAGTCGTCTTGATATTTTTAAAAAAAGCTTATTTATATTTTATCATACTTTTAAAAAATGCTTTTGGATACTTTGTTGCTACCTATTTTGATTACATATAGGAATGGAGCCATAAACTTTTCAGTGCCTTGTCATTCGAAGGATGTTCCTTTACCTCAGGTTTCCTCCTCTCTCTCTAGTCTATATCTGGGAGAGGTACACATATACCCAAACATTTTATTACATTGGGCATACCCAAACATTTTAATATATTTGTGCTGGTATACTTAGGAGCTAGCTTTTGACTTACAGCACATGTTTCCCTTGAAATAATTTAAGGCCATAAATATCTATGTCTGTTGTGTTGGTTTATTTTTTACCTGTATCCTTTCAGCCTACATTTTTCTATGTATTATCAAGTCCACAGACCCTGGGGACTAAAGGGCTTTTCAGGCATGTTGTTTGAAAAAAAAAAAAAAAAACTACCCAAAAAAGGTAGATAATTAATTACAAATGCATAGGTGGTAAATTTTTAAAATATAATGAGACTCACAGGTTTTCCACTATTTGATATTCTCTTTACAGAGTCAAATTGATGTACAGCAAAGCACACCAGGTACGTGCTCATGGGGACAGACTTCTCAAAAGTTGTTCGAGTCCATTTATCATCCACTGACTCTTCTTTCTATTGAAAAGAAAAGATAAACTTTTATCGATCAAAATATCAATCATATATATGCAAGACAAACAAATAAACGGTTGCCCCAAACCTTGCTTTCTAGCCAGAAGTCCTTTGTCAAAGCTTAGAGGTCAAATTGTTTGTGGTGATGTTGAAAAGACTACAGGAAAATTTACTTTGTTTTTAGAACTGTTAAAGACTGACTGAATTACACACTGTATCAGGTTTTTCAGGGAGAAATAAAATTTTGAGTGGACTATCAGTTAAATAGGAGTTTATCTGTCTACACTAAACACATCATGCTGACCATAATATTTCAGAGTACTGCAATCTCCTAATGAAAAACAGACTCGTGCTCAGATATTTGCTGATTCGACTGGCAGTAGGGCAATTGCTGTACCTGGTGTAGCGGAACATTGGCTTCTCTTTTCCGTCTTTGGTTGTCTACATCAAACACCAAAGGTATGGTCACCAAAGTCAGTGGCTCGGTCTCCATGGACAGAGAGGAGGATTCTATTGCTTGACACAACTACTGACCTATCTGGCTTGTTCTGTCCATGCCAGCTCTGCTGTCCTCACTGTCGATCACCAATCCTAACACTTCAACCACGAATACTTGCCCAACTCCTGCTTCCATTATTAAACATTTCCACATCTCCTGCAGCCACTCTATTTGGGATGGTTTAAAAAGAGATTAAGCGAGGGAGGCTGGATTAGAATGGGTGCGGCTGACACTTCAAGCACGGGTGTGCATGCCCTTGTATAATCGTGGTGGGGCTCCAGGCTACATTACTCTACCATAAAAACCTAGTAGTGTTAGTTTTGATGGCCTAAGAACCCAGAATATTCTCCTTCTTCCAGGACTACTATCTGGATCTAGTAGAAGGTAAAGTGTAACTCTGCACAGTGAAAAGGCCATAAGGGAAGTTCTTAAGCAGAAGTTGGTGACTTTGCCATTTTTTCCCCCCACCTTCATCTAGATTGGTGTGTCATACTTTAAGTTTATCCTTTCCTCTTTCTTCTCCAATCAAACCTTAGAAGAAAACAAATTGATAATTAATTCTCACTGAGGCATGGATGGCTGCTAAGAGTATATTTTAATCCTCTTAAGTGTTTATTTGCTTTATTTTGTTGTTGCTTTTTCAAGGAATATTTTATCATTTAAAAAGATGAATTTTAATGACAATATTTCAAATAGTGGATCAGAAAGATGGGAGACATAATTTGGGGCTGGTGTCCTTCTGATTATTATACCTAAAGATGAGGCTGACCCTTTTACATGTCGAATGTGTAAAGTATGTAAACCTCAACTTTGAGGCAATGAAACTCTAGGTAACAACATTATCCATTATAGGGATGAGACAAAATAACAGAGAGAAGTGTTTTATGTTAACAAATAATTTATACAGCAGAAATTATCAGCCTTTTAAAATTTTTTCTCTTTTTTCTTTTTTTAATTTTATTTATTTATTTATTTGTTTATTACACTTTAAGTTCTGGGATACATGTGCAGAATGTGCAGGTTTGTTACATAGGTATACACGTGCCACTGTGGTTTGCTGCACCCATCAACCTGTCATCTACGTTAGGTATTTCTCCAAATGCTGTCGCTCCCCTAGCCCCCCACCCCTTGACAGGCCTTGGTGTTGATGTTCCCCTCCTTGTGTCCATGTGTTCTTGTTGTTCAATTTCCACTTACGAGTGAGAACATGCGGTGTTTGGTTTTCTGTTCCTGTGTTAGTTTGCTGAGAATGATGGTTTCCAGCTTCATCCACGTTCATGCAAAGGACATGAACTCATCCTTTTTTATAGCCTGTTTTTTTTTTTTCTCCAGACATTTAACAAGCACTTCCCACTCACCAAAGGAGTCTATGGGCAAAGTGTTCCCTGGAGTTTGCTTCCACAACCCACTATTTAAGTGATGATTTTTTTAAATAGTAGCTTTATCTTTTTCAAAAAAACAAAACAAAAACTGGATTTATATTCACCTGAAAACTAAATAGTGAGTAGCCCTCAAATATTTTCAAGTCTGTAATTCCATTAGTTTGCCATTACTGTAATCTGTCACGACTCAGGGATCCTGGCAGCTAAGCAGAGCCCAAGCTGATGTGTGTGTCTATGGCATTGTCTCTTGCACAGAAACACCAATCTGGCTTTCTTACTGGACTGTGATACCTTACAGACTTCTAGGACTCAAAGAAAAAGATTGCCAAAATGTATTTCACTCAGCTAAATAAACTATTAGTGCACATTTAGTTTTAGAATTCAATGGGTTCTCTTTCACAGAAAATCAGGTAACTGGCCTAATGTTGTCAACAGACTCTCTGCATAAACAAAACATTTAAAAAATACTTACCGCCACTGGCATATTTGAAAGTGCTCCGTATTCTTTGGGATGGGTGATAGATATTGTATAAGTTGCCTTTTTGTTGGGCTCATCAAAACAAGGAAAAGATTTCCTGGCATCTGTTGGTTCATGATCGGTGGCCACTATGCTCCTTAGAAACAAACAAACAAACAAACGAAATGCATGCTGCCTCTTCTGACAACCCCTATGTCTCTATTCCTAGGGGAAAAAAAAATCAGCTATGCAATTATAACTATTACATTTCTAAAAATGAGGTTCCATCTAGAAGACTATCAAATATTTGTCAAAGGTTTTCCTGGAATTTTTAGCTTAACAAATTTTTAAAAAATTCTGAGTCAGATTGCTTCAGATATTTCATTCACATATTTATTTGTCAAAAACCACAGTTACTTTTGCATCAACCTAACAGCTATTTTGGTGCCATAACTAAAACTCTGTGGAGGAGCAAAAATAAATCCAATTATGAGCTAGTACTCTCTCCACCCCAAGCCCATTGAGCAACAAGTAGATAAACACAAAGCCAAACTTAAAAGCTTGTGTCTAACTGCCCTTATGGGAAGTGAACAGCTGTCTTCTGTCACAGAGTGGAGGTTATTCCAGAGTCCCCAGTCCCTGTCCCTAATGGCACATTCTTTGTTATTTATGTTACAACAGGGACAAAACCCCCAGTTTCATTTTCATGTAAAGGCAGTGCTGAGTAATCTCCTAGGTGAAGTAACCTTTGTCCTAGTTTAAAGCTCACTCTTAAAAAGAGAGAGCAGCATTTTTTTTTATGGCTCTAACTAGGCATATGCTGGTGTAAACTAAAATGTTAATGTTTAGTATTTTCATAATTTCAAGGTGAAAATATTATTTTCTGAGTAATTGCTCAAAAAAATCAATAGCATACACTTTTTACATGTAAACATATTACAGTAAAAGAATATTGTATATTGGCTTATTAGAAAATGAAGCAAAGTAAAAAGTATAAAAGTAAAGAAATGGTAATTTCCATTCATTAATAATTTGTACAAACAAAAATTTTGTCCTTCAGGATTCTGGAAACTAAGAAAGACATATCATAAAGAATATCAGGCTAAATTATTATATCATCCATTCATCCAAGAAACATTAATTGAGTCCCTTCCACACACACACACGTGCGCACACAAGCACCTATGCATGCATGCACACATTTGCAGACATTTTTCTAGCTGCTGTATGAAACCGCCTTTGCAAAATTATAACAGAGGAAATTATGACAGTGAAAAAAGTCAGACCTAACTGACTCCATCTTGCTTTTAACCTTTAAGCTGCACTTGTTCATTCCTGAGCATAGGCCGAACTAATTTTGGGAAGGAATTCAGTTTATGGTTTGACTCTGAAACAAAATTGATAATAGCACTTTCCTGAAAAGACCTCCTTCTTCCCTGGGGACCAGTCTGCCTTTGCAGGACTAACAAATTAGCTACAAGATTAGAAATTACAGTTTAGGGGTCATGCAGCCTCTGGCTGCAAGAGTCTCAACCTCCACAAATTCCTCATGGGGGATAACATTACTACTGTAAAACCTAAGATTAATGCTTGAGATATTTTGCAGACTCCGTACTTGATGGATCAGCTGACACCACCCAGACCAGTATCTGGCTCAACCAGTTCTGCCATCCCACCCAGGAACAGAAAACAGCAAGAAAAACTCACTTCGACCCTCTATGACTCCATCTCCAACTTGACCAATCAGCACTCCCCACTTCCCAAGCCCCTACCCGCCAAATTATCTTAAAAACTCTGATCCCCAAATGTTCGGGGAGACAAAGTTGAGTAATAATAAAATTCCAGTCTCCTGCACAGCCGGATCTGTGTGAATTACTCTTTCTCCATTTCAATTCCCCCCATCTTGATAAATCGGCTCTGTCTAGGCAGCGGGCAAGGTGAACCCACTGGGCAGTTACATGTATAGATAAGATTCCAGACTGCTTACAGAGTGTTAGACAAGAGACACACAAATAAATAAATAACTTAGGAGAGTGATGACAGCTACATAGAAAATAAAACACTGGAAGAGACAGAGAATGACTAGGAAAAGTGGTAAACAACATTAGGTAGAGTGGTCACAATCTCTTGGTTTGCCGAGATCTGAATAATGAGAAAAAGCCAGGCAAGTGGAGGTTCAGGGAAACATGTTCAAGTAGAAGGAACCGTAAGTGCAAAGTCCCTAAGATGAAAAAGAACCTGCTGTGGTTGAAGAATTGAAAGGTGTCCAGTGTGGCTAAAGAACACTGAACCAGACGGACTGGAGCCAGAGATAAGTTTGACATGAGGTCAGCAGAGGCCAGATCAGGAAAATATCAGAGATCATGAGAAGAGCGTGCATTTTATTTTGATTCAAGGACTTACTACAGCCAAGGATTTGACTGCCTTTGGCAAATTATGGGAGTATTGGAACATCACAATAAACAACGGGATAATAACTCATTGAACAAATTAACAATCTCTGAGTCCTTACTCTGATTTTTTAAAATGAATAAATAAATGGGTGAGAAGGGAAAGTTATTCCTTCCAGTAGATTGCCTACTAATAATATTTGAAGGAAAAAATTATTTTAAAAAATCATCAGTGGATGCCAAATCCAGGGGGTGAAAGTTTGGTGAGGAAGGGATATTTGCAAGGTTTCAAAAACTCCCTGAAAGTTACCTAAAGAGAAACCTTGTAACTTTACAATGGAGACGCTTGGTGGACACTACCTTAAGCAAGCTATCAAAGGAAGCATCAGTAATAATAGTTCAAACCAGCACAATGTGTCTCTAATGTGATTTCCTGAGAGAGACACATCACTTCTGTGATAGTCCTGACAGAAAAAAAAAAACAAAAAACTTAACTTGCATTTTTAAATCATGAGGAAAATCAGACAAACTACAACTGAGGGACATTCTCAAAATAGCCAGCCTGTATTCTTCAAAAATATTAACTTTAGAAAGACAAAGAAGGACTAAGGGACTGGTTTCAGTTTAAAGGAGTCTAAAAGGGCATGACACTAAGTGCAATGCAGCATTCCAGACTGGGTACTGCACTGGGGGAAAAAACATTCAAAAAGACATCATTAGGTTAGTTGATAAAATTCTATTACAGACTGTGAATTAGATAGTTGTATTAATGTTAAATTTCTTGATTTTGATGACTGTACTATGTTTATTTTAGAGAATGCCCCCGTGCTTAAGAAATATGCTCTGATGTTAAGGGGTAAAGGGAGAGGATGTTTCCATGTGCTCTGGAAAGGAAGGGGAAGGGGTACAGGCTAAAACGTAAACAATTGGTGAATCTAGGTTAAGTATTTCTAGGAATTCCTAGTACCGTTCTTATAACTTTCCTATGAGTCTGAAATTATGTCACAATAAAGTTACCCAAGAAAAGCCTCAGTTAAGAATTCATTCTGCAATAGAACAATCATTGATTAGTTTTGTGACATTAACAGTTTAGTCAATTGAAGTTTCTAAACATCTTGCAGATTGTAGTTAATTGCAAGTATATCAGACTCTAAAAAAGCCTGTACACTTTCCCAGAGTTTGAAAGTTTTATAAGATCCACCAAGCTCCAACCCCATGTTTAGTCAGCTGCCTTTTCCTTCTGAATTCTTCTGACTTCTGATGTCTTCCAGAGGCAGGGGAAAAGGAAAAGTCACTCCTTGCAAGAATGTCTCCTCTGAGTCACACCTCAGAAATAGGCCAGCTAACTAATTTGAGAAGATGAGTGTGTGTGAGTGTGCGTGCGTGCATGCGCGCACCACACACATCTTCGTGTGTGGGAGGTGAGAGGAAGGAGGAAGTGGAATTACACTTTCCTAAGCTATAGCCATGGGGTATGTTTTCAAATACTCTATTTTACTCTTGGCTGGATGCCAGAATATGAATATATATATATATAATATAATATATATATAAAATATAATATAATATATATAATATATATTCCTAAGATCCCAGGAAAGAAAATAATTTTCAATCCTTTTCTCACCTTCTCTCTTTAAAAGACATTCTGCTTGATTGTAGGCAAAAACTACCTTCCTAAACTAGCGTATTCCTGAGCTTGCCAACGGACATGGAACAGAACAGTGTGGGAGATTTCTCTGTGCGGTGTGTTTGGCCCAGCTCAGTGGTCCTCTCAGCAAATGTCAGTCACAGCAAGTCTAACTCAATCACAGTGACCCAGATATAGATACAGTGACATTCATCAACCCGAAGAGCTATATAATGTTTATTTTCTTTTTCTTTTTTAAAGTTCAGAGCCAATATGATTTTATGGGGAAAACCCTTTTCTAAGAGCAAACATTCTTACATTCTAATCCACTTCAGCTACTAAAGTGTGATCTTGACCAAGTCACAAAACCCCAGACTTTTAGTGTCCTCATCTGTAAAACCTGGTCACCAGAGCATGTATAGCCTCCTCACAGCGTTATGGGGAAGTGAGAAGGCGTAGATTACATGTAGTAATACATTTGAAACTCCCTTAAAATTTACATAATGTGGTTAGGATATACCTCATTCTACATCTTATAAATCTAGAATGCTAGTGCTTTCTGACATAGCACTTTCACAATCTGAAATATTTCAAATCCTTTCATTTGACTGCAATATATACTGGAACAAAATTACTTGGTGTATATACACTATAGGCAATGTAAGCATTTTTAAAATGGTAACCTGTTCTTTTTCTCATGAACTTCAGAATAACTCAAAAGCTCCTTTTTATATATCCTAAATTCCATCAGTTGGCCCTAAACTTTTCTAAGTGTGTGCAAAGTTGAAAACAAGGAATAAGAGATAACAATACAAAACAATTCTAGATCACAACTTCTTTGGGAAGATTTTATTCAGTGATTAAAATCAGATGACTTGTCTTGCAAATTAAGAGAAAAAGGCTGACTAATAGCACAATATGTTCAGGAGTGACTTGTGGGTACGTCCTGAATAATTATCGCGCCAGGCAAATGTGTTGGAGTAAACCACCTTCCCACAAGGGCCTCCCTATGCCACATTAATAAGTCACTTACTAGACCTAGCACAATAAAATGATAGTCTATGCAATTTAGTCGTTTCCAAAAGGGAAGAGCATTTCTCTGGCATCTCTGAGTGGATCAGATCAAGGTGACTTTAAGAAAACTGAGGGAGAAGGGGCGATGGCACAAGTTATGGCTTGGATCACTCTGAATTGACTCTAAAAAAAAAACCAAAAAAGGTACCTAATTATCTCATAAATCATCTGGCATGCTGTTTCCAGTGAAGACTCTCTGGCTGTGCTGAGCAATTTTATAAGTTGAACCAGCAAAATAAACAGCAAGTTTTGGGTGAAATCCTTAAACACAGAGCTTCTGATTCGGGACAGGTAGTCACAATTGCTAGGGGTCTATATAGACTAAATAAAGGGTTCCAGAATTACATAGAGGAGCAGCTTGGTGAAAAACAACCCCTCTAGATTGTTCAGACCTCTATGTATTTTTATGGTGGTTTGAATGAACCAGTTAGTTATTTAACTTTATTTTCCAATTTTTTTTTTCTATGTAGAAGATATTCAAGGTCAAGTAAAATTTCTTTTTGTTTTCTTGCTTCCAAAATAAAAGAAATTTACTTAGCCTCCTGCAACAAGTAAACAAGACCAAAAAGAAAATGTATTCTTTTTTTGTTTGTTTGAGATGGAGTCTCACTCTGTCACCCAGGCTAGAGTGCAGTGGCGCGATCTTGACTCACTACAACCTCCGCCTCCTGGGTTCAAGCAATTCTCCTGCCTCAGCCTCCAGAGTAGCTGGGATTACAGGCATGTGCCACTACCCCCGGCTAATTTTTGTATTTTTAGTAGAGGCGGGGTTTCACCATGTTAGCCAGGCTGCTCTCGAACTCCTGACCTCAGGTGATCCGCCCACCTCAGCCTTCCAAAATGCTGGGATTACAGGCATGAGCCACCTCGCCCAACCTAAAATCTATTCTTTATTGACATTTTTATTGACAATGGGATAATAGCTCAGCATACTAATCTAAGAATATAATGAACAAACTGACATACGACAAAAATTTCAAGATCAAAACTACATGTGCTTGAGTATACATACACATCCATGCAGGTAAGAATACATTACACACACACACTTAATGATGATTATCTCACCGATGTTTCCACTCAACTCCTAAATCTTTATTACAAGCTCTAACCTTGTGCTTCAGACATACTTATGCAAGTGCCTACTAGTCATCTCTTCCTAGATGTCTGACAAGCCATCAACACATCTGACACTGAACTTACGACCTTCCCTTCTAACCTGGCTACTTCCCACCTATTTCCAATATCAATTGAGGTGAAGGCTAGCTGGGGTATCCTAGACCCATAACTTTAACTCACCCTTCCTCATAGTCAAGCAATCGTCAAATCTTGACTACTTTACCTCCAAACTATTTTCTCTACTGTGCCCTCTCTTCTCTATCCTGAAATCACGTTTCCTATCTGATCCTTATCTTCTCTTTCCTGGATTGCTGCAATATCTTTCATATATCCAAGTGGATGGTTGAGTTAACTCTTTCTTTTGCCATCTGTATCCAAAAAGTCATGGGGTAATTTCTCCTTCATAATGCCTATCATGGCTATTTTTCCTTTTCCTCCGTAAGGGTTTTCCTCAGTGATATCTAGCTAGCCTGTTCATATAAACTTCCCCTACAAACTAATTTTCTTGTCCCCACTCTGCTTTTCTGACTTGGTGCCTTTCCTTTTTGCCTGCTTTTAGTTTCTCACTTGTCTCTGCTGCTGAACTCCCACCAGAACATCAAAATTCAGCTTAAATCCTACTAGCGCTACGAAGAACACCTTGGCAGCCCAAACTAGAAATGATCTCTAAAATTCCGGTTGTACTTCCTGTCAATTCCACTGTTTCTCTGCCTTTAAACTACGGAGATTGCATTCCTAAGTACAAATATATATACATACACATATAAACTCTTCCCTTCCACAGGGTAGGCAGAAAAGGAACCAAGGGAAAATTTTCACCCTAAGTGGGAATGTAGAGATGTTATTGGTGGAAGTTAGGCTCGTTTATGGGAGAGAAGCTGTGGTAATGCAATGTGTCCCAGCATTTGCCAGAGGATACTAGTCATGTGAGAGCTTATATGATAATATTTTCATTTATTCCATTTGAGAATATTTGAGTGCTCACTGTGTGCCAAACAGTAAAGGAAAGACATATATCCCTACTCTTAGGAACCCCACAGAAGAATCCATAGTCACAGAGAGTTGGGAAACTACATAGAGGACATTATCATATAAAAGCCTCTGAAAACCCTGTAATCCCAGCTACTCGGAAAGCTGAGGTGGGAGGATCACTTGAACTCATGAACTCATGAGTTCAAGCCAGGAGTTCTACCCCAGCCTGGATCTCATCTCTTTAAAAAAAAAAAAGTCTCTGAAAAGTTCCATAATTAAAAACAAAATCCAAAACAGATCATTTTGTATTTAGTATTATTGCACAAACTGATTTAGCCACAGAATCTCTCCCCTGCTATTTTTCTGGTAATATCTACTAAGATCCCCATGCAACTAGAATTCTGCAGTACATACTTTGGGAAGTGCTAAGTAAGCATAATCCAAATGCTGACAAGGAAAAGCCAAATCTTGGAGAGAAGAAAATATATACTTTGGAGTTTGAGTAGAGGGAAACTCTTTTAGGGAAGGGAACAGCTGGAAATCCTACGTAACACGGTGAGAAAATGGGAAGAAGGAGGGTGTGGTCAGAGAAACATTCCAAAGGTTCCAATCCTTCCAAGTGGTTTTCCTCAGACCCTGAAGAATAGACTAGCGAGTAGGAAGAGGTAGATCGATAAAGGAAAAGCGACTGGATGTTTCTCAAACTTTCTCCTTCCACGCCCCACTACAACTCTGTCCCCAGAAAGACAATGTGGAATTCTAAATTTTGTCCCCTTTCTTCCCCATGTCTCAATCTTGAGAGAAAGCAACTTGGGTAGCTGTGAAGTTTGTGAAGCTCAAAGTCCTGATTGTATTTGCAGAAATTAAGTAATTTTGGTTACTACTGAGTGCAATCCTGTTTAGTTTGCATTGTGGTTGTCACATTAATATCCCTAACTACTAATACTCAATCCTGGAGTTACATTTTACGTTAAGGTCAGAAAATATAATTTTGACTCCGTACTTCAAATGTATTACTATGATGACGTTTAAAATGATACAAACGTCACATATGACGAAGCTCACTCTATAGTATGAAAGAAAGGCACTGCCCCCAGTGAACTCCCTCTGGTGGCCCTTATATGGAGCCTGTGGATGAGAACTCCTAGAGGCTGCATTGCCAAAATATTACTCACAGGCTAGAAAAAAAAGCATGATGCACTTTTCTCATATGCTTGAAATATTTCAGACAAGGATAACAAAAAGTATTCCATTTAGCCTAAATGAGGTTATTGAGCTGACGCCAGATCTGTTCCAAAACCATGTGTGTGCAGTACAGAACTGGCAGCATCTTTTGTAATGTGAGAGCTTCAACTGCTCCCAATGAAACATACAAACTTGGGAACACCAATCCTCAGTGAGAACTGAACTGAGCATCAGCCTTCCTCACCGATGTTGCCATCATTTCGTAATCTCCAATCAAAAGTTAAGTCAACTGAGCTTCAGAAGGGCAGCTCTCTGGTATATATTTTATGGCAAAATTAACTGGTACACTAAAATAACTCAAAGAGTGAGAGTATTTGTGTATATAATGCTTTTTTTAGACTTATAAAGTACATAATAGAAACTTATTAATGGAGACTACATAGTTCCAATTTTTGGCCTTCCTAATATGTGTAAAATTTTATTTTATTATTTTATAAATATTTTGATGGTTTTATTCAGATAAAATTTCTCTTGTCTTTATGATCTAAGAAGCAGTTTTAAAGTTTTAGCAATAATATTTAAAAAGTCTTGACTCGCTTTCACTTCAATGAATTTTTAGAATCTCTTTAAGGTGGATATTCTTCAGAATATTGCCCTTCCCTCGACCATTGGCAAACACTTTTAAAAAATCATTGTATTGTTAGTAAGGCTCAGAGGAATAGTCGCTTTCATACATTGTTGGTGGAAATGGAGTTTGGGACATATTTTTTGGAAGTCAGTTTGGAGACACACACACATGCATACACATGTTCATGCATATATATGTATATGCATGTACACATATATACACAGACATACATGCATTTATACACAGGTAGTTTTGGCCCATCTTCTAGGAATTTTCTTAAATATTAGAAAATGTCCATAAATAGTTATTTACAAGGATAGTCAATATAAGGATGCGCCTTCTTCTAGATCCTTATAGGTGAAAAAATAGGAGCAACTTAAATACTCATATTTAATGGAAAAGTGAATCAACTACATTGTAGTCATACAATGGCCTACCATGTATCCATCGAATCATTTGTGGAAGAACATCAAATGACATCTTAAAGCATTGATGCTATATTGGAAAAGCATGTTACACATTACTATGTATAATATAATTATGCCACAGCTATCTATGTCCAGAAAAGTACTAAAAGAGTCTCTGCCTAAATGTTAACAATGGCTATACTTGGGTAAAGAATTTATGGATGAATTTATGTTTTCCTATAATTTTCTCTGTTTTCTGAGTTTCCTTCAATAAACGTGTATTATTTATGTTATCAATAAACAAAGTAACTATTACAATATCTTGGTATATTTGTACACTTTGACCCAGCAATTCTATTTTTAGGACTATATCCTAACCTAAGGAAATAAACAGATGCACATACAAAGAGGTATTTAGAAGTATGTTATTTGATGATTTGTTTATAATAATAAAATACTAGAAACAACTCAAATGCTCAACAATATAATTTGTTTTAAAAAATTACAATGTATTCAAACAATGGAATATTTCACATCTTTAAAATCAGATTCTTGGCTGTGTGCAGTGGCTCATGCCTATAATCCCAGCACTTTGGGAAGTGGTGGCAGGAGGATTGCTTGAGTCCAGGAGTTCAAGACCAGCCTGGGCAACATAGCAAGACCCTGTCTCAATAAAGAACAAAAAACAGATTCTTGAAAACATGTAAGAATAAGGGGAACTTCTCAAGACATTAAGTAAAAAAGGCATATAGATAGACAGATATAATGCAATTAAAGGTTTGATTGCCTAGAAAAACATTAGAATATACATTAATATGCTAGCAGGGATTACCACTGGGCAGTGAAATTATTTTACAGATTATTTTGATTATCCTTTTTGATAATTTTTATGCTTTCAATGATGTAATTCTTATGAACAGAAAAAATACGTAAATGGTAAGAGTGTTTTTTTGCTAGCAGTATTAAGATATAAGATCTATATAAGCATGACCCCTACAGATATTTTCTTCAAACTATCACTTCTACTCAATTTATCAGTTTACCACACAGGAATATAGGAATATTTAAATGTTTTGTTTTAGTCCGTGGGTCTGTCTGACAAACAATAGAAAGAATTTTGACCAAAAAATTTGCTTGCTCTGTAAGATGCTTAAAACAACAGAAAAAAAGGGATATTTGTGGGTGGACTGGCCCAAGACTCACATCTCTAAACTGTGACAAGAAGCTTTCTTAATCATTTACCTCTTCAGAATCTAAGCCAGCAAAGGTCAAAGCAGTCCAGACACAACACAAGGTGTAGTGTAGCCTTCCTCCCTGATGCAAGGGCTACATCCACAGTGTGAAGGAAGTTTTTGGAGTTCAATGAGAGAGTTTATGCCTTTAACATAGCTCTGGTAGTAGCCACTGATCAATACAAAGGCTAGACAAATAGGTGGGAAAGTGGAATAAATACCTATCTATCTAGATAGATATTTGTATACAAATATTTGTATGTATTTAACTACTTAATATATCTTTTATGTTGTAAAAGGCTTAGCATTATGTTTGCACATTGTATCATGAGCAACAAGCCTCCAAATTTACCTATGCCACTGATGTGTGGACTCAATGAATATTTCCTGAAAGCCTATGTGTAAAGCATGGTCCTGGCCATCGGAGACAGAAAAAAACACAGTCCTGTCTTCCTTTCCAGATGAAGACACAAAGACAATTCTGTGGATCACATGTGATTTTTCAATGTCTCTCTTCTCCAAAAAAGAGACATTGGACAAAAAAAAAATGGACAAAATAATAACTGAAATTTACTGATGTTTCACGTAAATTTAGTGTAATACCACTTTAAAAGTTCATATATATTGCTGTATATATATTGCTACATAGCCTGGGAATATCACTAGTGAAATTTACCAAAGGCAGTTCTCAAACCTGAGATAATTTATGGAAATCTTCAAGATAGGGTGCAGTATATTATGATTTCTCCTGATGGAATAAAAGACTTACACTGACTTTTGACTCTACGAAGCTCATTCACTACTTTCAAGTTTTATGACAGGGTTTGGAAATACAATAGGGCAACAATTTTGGCTTCCCAGATGGACAGCCAGAATTGAAACCAAGAGCCGATCAATATCAGACCAACAAAATAATTAAAAGCGGAAAGTGAAAAGGAAAGGAAAAGAAATGGAAAGCAGATATGTGAGCTTAAGGGAGGTAAAGCAAAAATTAATATTTACTTGACTTGTCCGTTCTCCGTGTAGGTGGTTCTATAAAATCCCACGAGGGAGCCGTTCAGCCAGCCGGCGAACTCCATGGTCAGGAGATACAGGCCATCTCCACTGCTGGGGGTAAGCTCTTCCTCCGCCTCGACCACCACGTACTCCTGCTTTTTGTACTCGAAACACCTCCGGACTTGCACCTGGTCCCCAGAGGGCCTCTTCAGCTCCGGGAGCCGGGTGATCCTGGTCTCCCGGAGGTGCAGCCACAGGTACCGGGTGGGAGCGCTCAGGTTGATGGAGATGCTCACGGTGCCCGTGTAGGTGTCCTCCTCCAACAGGGGCTTCACGTGCAGGTCGTAGTGGACTGGGTTGACGAAGTCCGGCAGTCGAAAGTTTTTCCACTGTCCGCTCTCATCCTCACTGGCCGGGCAGATGTCCTGGTCCTGGGCAGGAGGACCTGAGGGGCTGGCCGTGGAAGAAGGCAGGTGGGAAGGAGCTGGCGCAGTGCCCGGCCCGCCGTCCCCGCTGGAGTCACACGATCTGGTCAAGCCCACGGCAAGTCCCACTATTAATCCTACACCCACCACCACCGCACAGAGAATGGCCACATGTTTCGTTTGAATGCAGTATCTCTTAGAGCCCTCTCTCTCCGCAAAGTTCATTTTTGCTTCCAAAGTCAAGTGTTACACATAAAAAGATGTTAAATTTAACTAACTAACGTCAGCAGACTTCCTTTTTAAATTGGAAGGAATCCCCTGATTTGGCAGCCTGTTTTCGCTTTTCCCACACCCCTCTCTCTGGCTTCTTGCGCCTTTTCCTCTCCCTTTTCACGTTCCCACCAGCCACTCAGGATGAATGCGGAAACAAGGGGGGTGGAATGAGGACTCCGTAAGAGGAGCCGAGTGGGAGGAAGAGGGCTGGCAAGAAGATTGTCACAGCTCCCCTTATAAACGACGCATCTCCACCCCTACCCCTCCTGCACTGCAGCGAGTTAAATATAAAACAGGGCTTCGCTTATCAGCCAACGGGAGGATGAGCCCTCGCCAAAGCTCCGTCAGCAGCTTTCAGGGAGCAAGCGTTTGGGTGAGGTGTGCTTACGATAGAAAATCTCAACCTTTGCCACTCAGCCTGGGGCTTCTTCCTGTTGTGTTCGCAATCTCTCCCTCCTAACTAAAGGGCTTCTTGAATTTCAGCTATTTTATCAGATAGCTTGCTAAAGAAGCTAAGTGTTTTCTTTTATTTTTTTTCCCTCATATTATGTAAACATTCCAATTCTGTCCTTTGAAGAAGTCATATCCTGGAATTGGGTGCTCAGGGTGATTCAAGGACCACCTAGGTACTCAGTAAATATTTGTCGAATTAGATTTGGAAAGCATAGCCAGGTAAACCTAAATCAGTTCAGCTGGTGCTGGGTGAATGAGAGAGGGGGAACCCAAAGAAATTAGCCAAAGCAGTAGTGGAGCTGGAAAGCTTAAGAAGAGAGAGGGAACAAGAGGGGGAGAAGTCTGAAAGGACAGAGGGACAAGGAAGAAGGCCTACTTGTCTCTGCAGTGTGCCTCCAAGTGAGATTGACTTCCTTAGACTTTGATGTGGTAGAGCACGTTTAAAGTAGATTCCAGATGTGAAAATTGACCTGTTGGGAAATCCATCATCCATGCAAATCTATCATTTTGTTTCTGAATGACAAGCTCAGGAAGAAAAATCTCAATGAACTTCATATTTACTGGCAGCTTAGCTATGGACTGACATTTAGAGAGGTTAAGCTATTGCTCAAGGTCACACACCTGGCAAATAGCAGAACTGGGGTTTGAACCCACGTTGTCTGAGTCTAAAGTCCATATATCTGGCCAGGTGTGGTGGCTCACGCCTGTAATCTCAACACTTTGGGAGGCTGAGGCAGGTGGATCACCTGCGGTCGGGAGTTTGAGACCAGCCTGGCCAACGTGGTGAAACCCTGTCTCTCCTAAAGATACAAAAATTAGCCAGGCGTGGTGGAACACATCTGTAATCCCAGCTACTCAGGAGGCTGAGGCAGGAGAATTGCTTGAAGCTGGGAGGCGGAGGTTGCAGTGAGCAGAGACCGTGCCATTGTACTCCAGCCTGTGTGACAGAGCAAGACTCCATCTCAAAATAAATAAATAAATAAATAAAATTAAAAAAATTAAAGTCCATATATCAACGATCGCATTCTACTGCTTGCTTCCATGCTCTGAGGAGGATAAATATTCAAGGGTTAAGTAACTATGAAAAACTTGGTATTTCCCCAGATACAATCCATGGATATTAACAGATCTACTTGCCAAGCAAACAATGCTGGGTTAAAGTGAAAAATCTTCTTTTACTACTCTCCATTCTTGCAGAGCCTCCAGATGGTGACACACATTGTGAGCCTCTCAGAGAGGAAACACGACGGAGTACTTTCCCCATTTAGTTGACAAGACAGCTTTTTCTGGTGAGGTACCTTTTGAGGGCCCTCTGTTCCACAGAGCACACTCTGAGAAACGTTGTTTCAAACGGTTCTAAATTACAAACTAAACAAACAAACAAAAAACAAAACTTTAAAAGCAAACGGGTCCATTTTACTCTGTAACATTTCTGCTGTTTTTCTCACAAAATAGTAGTAACAGAAAAAGAATTAAAGGAAAAAGGGATATGTTTTTCTAAATTGTAGGCCCATCTTGTATTGATTAATTTTACATTCTGAAGCAACCCTAAACTTCTTGAGATCACAGTATGTTTAAGTTTGGCACATTAACTTCCTGAATTTTAGCCCTTGAAACCCTCTTTTTATTGAAAAGATCATCTGACATTTCAATAAATGTTTGATGGGTCAAATATTTTGATATGTTTCTTAGGAATGAAAGGCAAAAATGTGGCTCAAATTTACCTAAACATAGTGAAAGGAAAAGCAAAAAGTATTTGGAAGAATGTACATAAAATTATGTTAAACTGGAAGTATTTTTTAAAATCTCAGATGTGGCAAACATTTGAAATCTCTTAAACTTGACCTTGTGGCAAACATATATGAAATCTCTTAAACTTGCCCTTATTTACAAAGACAACAATCTTATCACCAGGTCTTATGTACAGAGAAGATAATAGACCTTTGGGTTGGGTACACTTAAGGAAGATTAAGAATGGCCACCTGCTATGAAAAAGCTCTACTACTCTGCCTGAAATTCTACCATAATGAATATACTATTTAAATGCATTTTTTTTTGCCAGAAGAAATAAAATACCCTAAGTCCACATATGGGGTGTGTGTGTGTGTAGGTTTTGAGTCCACAGCCCAGTTCTAGCCACAGTATCTTATTAGTACCAACCTGTGTGAGCTGACTGCATCCAATGAAGGGCACCACATCTTGTGAGGATCAGCATATTAGGGTGACCTAATACAGCCAGATGAGCAGAGGTAGAAGGGCCAGCATGTGCACCATCACAGGCACCCTCCTAGATTAAATAGACCATATTGGGTAATCTTACGTTGAATGAATCTACATTGGATATAAATAATTTCAAACGACTACTGCTGGTCAATTTCCACTTATCAGGTCCAAGCCAGTGGAGTGAAAGAACAACAGTTTACTGTAGGTTCTATATGACAATCTCCATCCCTTTTGATACATACATTATCGTGATCTACTTTGAGTACTAAAATTCCAGTATCTGCTCCTGTTCCTTATTTAACATTCAATAGATATCTGTTCCCTATTCAATACTCAATAAATGTTTATTGATTGCTTAGTGAATAACAAATGAACAAATAAATGAACAAGGAGAGGAAGGAAAAACAATAATCCAGAATGGGAGGGGTTAACAGACATACTGTGCCAGGAATGTTGAGAGAAACTCTGTTCGAATTCCAGAAAAGACTAGAAAGACATTCCCTGGGGTGAAGACCTGGAAATCACATCTGATCTTGAGTAGGTGAGGAAATTCTTGGCAAATTCCTTCCCATAGGCGGTAGACTGATGCAAGAGACTCACTGTAACATCAAAGGCCAAGTATGCACCTCTCTTTTTCACTTACAGCTTCCATTTAAAGCTTTTCTATTAGGTACCAGGAATTACACATCCTACAGAGCTATTGGGCCTTCTGTGTATACACGGTGCTGTCTTAGTCTGTTTTTTGTTGCTATAACATATACCTGAGGCTGGGTAATTTATAGAGAAAAGAGGATTACTTAGCTCACATTTCTGTAGGCTAGGAAGCACAAGAAGCATGGCACCAGCACCTGCTTGGCTTCTGGCGAGGGCTTTCACACCATTACAACGTTAGGGAAGGTCAAAAGGGAAGCAGACACGTGTAAAGTTGCAAAACCCAAGGTGCATCCTGGCTCTATGACAGCGCAGTCTCACGGGAGCTAATTCATTCCCACAAGAACTAATTCAGTCTTGCCAGAGCAAGAATTCATTTACTGTTGTAGAATACAGAAGGGCACCAAGCCACCCATGAGGGTAGAGTTGTCATGACCTAAACACCTCCCATTAGACCCCACCTCACAACACTGCCACTGGGGATCCGATTTCAACATGCGTTTCCGTTGGAACAAACAAGCCATAGCCATACCATAACATGTGCTGCTGGCTCACCTGGGCACTAGGAGCATCTCAGGAAATGTAGTCAGCAATTAACACTACTGTGTGATTATTTGGCTGGCCCTTTAATCAGTGATCTGAGCTGAATGCTATGGTTCAAGGCTGATCACCTGAGGTCAGGAGTTCAAGACTAGCCTGGCCAACACAGTGAAACCCCGACTCTACAAAAATACAAAACTTAGCAGGGCATGATGGCGGGTGCCTGTAATCCCAGCTACTCGGGAGGCTGAGGTGGGAGAATCCTGCTTGAACCCAGGAGTCGGAGGTTGCAGTGAGCCGAGATCATGCCATTGCACTCCAGCCTGGGCGACAGAGCGAGACTCAGTCTCAAAAAAAAAAAAAGTGGCAAGTTAGATTCACAATGGAGGAAATAGAATCTGCAAATTAGGCTGTATACATAGGGAACAAGGAGGGCCCGAACCAGTTTCTTTCCATCTTGCCACAGGGCCACTATTATTAAACTCATAAATTCTATAAACACCCTTGGTCAATTCAGCCATTTCCAAACTTTAAAGGTTTAGTGAGCTGTGAGAGTTGAAAAAGGAGAGAGTCATTGCAACTGACTTGGCTAACCGTGAGGTCTAAAGCCATATTGGCCATGTTCTTTCTGATGCTGGTAAATTCACCTGTATTTCCAATGCCTGTGCCCTATTTGTCATCTTTTATTTGGCGTCAACAACTGTTTTAAAAGGTTCAGTTGGTTTTAAGACTAAGTGAACTAGATTAACTTTTTCCAAGAGCTGAAAACTGATGCAGATGTCAGGAGTAGTTTTAAGACATAAAATGTTCAGCATGCCACATCTAATTTTTATTGGTGGGAAAATGATGAATTTGTCCAATGACTGGCACAATAAAGGGAGAGGGAGGAAAGATGAGGAAAAGGAGAAGAAGAAAGAGACAAGAGGCAAAGGAAAGGGAGAGGAAAAAGGAGGACTTTCAAAATAGATGAGAAGGAAAATAAACCTCCAAAACACACCAAACATAATTTAATAAAAAATAAAAATCAGGCCAGGTGAGGTGGCTCACGCCTGTAATCCCAGCACTTTGGGAGGCCATGGCAGGTGGATCATTTGAGGCCAGGAGTTCAAGACCAGCCTGGCCAACATGGTCAAACCCTGTCTCAATTAAAAGTACAAACATTAGCTGGGCGTGGTGGTGGGCACCTGTAATTCCAGCTACTTAGGAGGCTGAGGCAGGAGAATCGCTTGAACCCAGAGGGTGAGGTTGCAGTGAGCTGAGATCACGTCACTGCACTCCAGCCTGGGCAACAGAGCAAGACTCTGTCTCAAAAAAATAAAAAATAAAAATAAAAATCAGTGAAACAATAAGTTTCTATCTTCTCTATTCCTTGTTGTTTCCAGGCTGATTTGAGAATTCTCTGCAGTTTTCTGGGATACCCAGACTGATGCTCATAATGTCTCTCACCACTAATCCCTGAATGCCAGGAGATGTCATTTCACAAGCAAGAATTATGCTCCTGTTAGCCATTTGGATCACTCTAGAGAGAATCTGTTCACTTCACTTTCTTCCCCTGCCCCCCAACCCCCTGCTGCCAGAAAAGTGTTTCTTAGCCACTATTTATTTATTCATTTATTCATTCATTCAATAACTCAACAAATATTTGTTGACTAAATAAATATTTACTTTCCAACAAATATTTATTAGGTAAGGAATGCTAAGATAAACTTCAAAATGTAAGCCTTAAAAGAAATAATAGTGAATATTCTTAATATTCTTAAAGGCATATATGTAAAGCCCTGCCTTGTTCTCAGCAGGTAGAGATTTTGAAAATATTTGGAAAAGCAAACAAAATAAAACTAAAAAATTTATGATTCCTATAATTTTTAACTGCATTTGTATTGAGTTCCCTAATGTGCAATAATGCATTGGGAGAAAGTGGTTGGATATAAAAACAGCAGGAGAAAAATAATAGTGATAATATAGTCTAGATTTCTGTTGTTCTAAGAATTTTGAAATTATATATATTTTTTCAGTGCACTAAATAATAGTTCTGTATTCTGAAGAGTTTTAAAACTTCCTGAAATGTTTAATTTACTCAACATTTCCTTTCAGCCTTTATGGTATCAGAATTCTTGGCAATATTTTCTTCTCTTCTATCTGCAGAAGTCTGCAAAAATAACGTTGGTATAGGGAAACTATTTCATCCAATATTCTTTTACTCCATAAAGAGTCCAAGTGAATTATACTAGCAATGATTATTTTGGATTATGTTCTCCACAAAAATTCTAATACACCCTTTCTTTACCTTAGGTAATATTAATTATTTATTTCAAAGAAAAGGCCTATAATTTTACAATTTTTATTTATTAGTGCTAGCTGTTTGGTTTGAAAATTTCTTTATTGCCACATTAACTTTAACCAAATAAAGTTGTCTTCAATTTTTGTTTTCCTTGGAAGTAAAGACTTAAACTGCATTAAGATGATCAAAGTCATCCATATGGATAATAGAAACATTATTTCTCCTGTTGCTGTTCTCTTTATTTAGCATCTCTTCTGTTTTCAGTTTATGACTTTTTTAGAATGCTTTTGCCTTAAGCTAAAAAAAAAACATGCCCCCCTCCAAAAGATATCCACTTGATAATCCCTGGAACCTGTGCATGTTACAAAATATAGTTTTTTTTAAAGTGTCTTTGCAGATATGATTAAGTTTAAGATCTTGAGTTGGAAGATTATCCTGTACTATTAGGATAGGTCCTAATATATGATCTCATGTGTCCTTATAAAAGGGAGGCAGAGAGATTTTACACACAGACAGAGGTGATGTAAAGACAGAGCAGAGAGAGATTTGAAGGTGCTATTGAAGGTGCTGGTCTTTAAGATTGGAGTGATGCAGCCACAAGCCAAGGAATGCTGGCAGTCACCAGAAGAGGGAAGCAACAGATTCTCCCCTACAGCTTCTGGATCAAGATGACCCTGCTGTCCTTGATTTTGGCCTAGTGATATTCATTTTGGACTTCTGGCCTCCAAAAATGTGAAAGAATACATTTCTGTTATTTTAAGCCAAGTCTGTAGTAATTTGTTACAGCAGCCACAGAAAAAGAGTACAGCAGATTTTACATATTCACTCAACAAACATTTATTGAAAACCATAATGTCCCAGGCACTTCAAATGTTGGAAAAGCACTAAATAAAAACACAAATGAAAACATAGCCTCAGGACAGAATAGTTGTTTTTCAAGTAGAAAGAGGATCACAATGAGATAGAATATTAGCTTTTTGAATAAGAACACACTCTCTTTTTTCATTCACTTCCGATTTTCTAAAGATATACTTGACAACTTGGTTTTTGTTCTTTGGGAGGTATTTTGCTCAAGGTTTCAAAGATTTTTGTGTGTTTATTTTCCAGTTGTCTTCATGGCATAATATTTGTTTACAGTGTTAATAAATTATTTGTTCAGTTAACAGGCTGTATGTCATTTTGTATAAGCAATATGACTCCCACTGATTTTATTTGAATCTTTCATTAAATTTATATCTGGGGAAATCTTATACCCACCTCTGATTTTGAAGCTTTCATTACAGATGCTTTTTTAAGGTCAATGATATACAAATCCAGGGCAAAATAACACTATTTCTTGGGGGTACAGTAATTTCCTTCCATCTTCTGAATGCTTTGCCTCATTTATTTCTATTGTCCTCAATGATGGCTAGTCTGGTGGACTGTTTGACTTCTGTATTTTAGATAATTTCCTTTGATATCTCGCTTTCCATTCAGCTTTTAAAGGGTTTTCATGTGACTCTTTCATTCTTGGTTTATCATTTGTACCTGGGCTTAAGATATTTATGTGCATGTATTGTAAGGGTCTTAGCTTCACTGTTTAAATCTCTTTACTCTGGATTCAGATATGTCTCCATGTGTGAAATCATCAGCTACAGCCCACCATGGGTTGGAGCATACAAAAACTTTAGATAGTAATACCTTTTGAGAAGGAATTTATTTTGGAGTAGTCAGGAATTCTTCCAGTTCCAAATAACAGAAAACTTAGCTAATTGTGGCTTAATCTATAAAGACATCTAATTATCTCTCATCATAAGAAGTCTGGGGCCGGATGTGGTGGCTCACGCCTGTAATCCCAGCTCTTTCGGAGGCTGAGGCAAGTAGATCACTTGAGCCCTGGAGTTTGAGATCAGCCTGGGCAACAAAATTAGATTCTATCTCTACAGAAAATACAAAAATTAGCTGGGTGTGATGGTGCATGCCTGTAGTCCCAGGTACTCGGGAGGCTGAGGCAGGAGAGTCACTTGAGCCTGGGAGGTCGAGGTTGCAGTGAGCTGTGATTACACCACTGCACTCCAGCCTGGGCAACGGAGTAAGATCTTATCTCAAAAAAAGAGTCTGGAGGTAGAGACTATCAACATGCCTTGGCACTCAATGATGCTATCAAGAAACTAAGCTCTGCCTATCTTTTCATTCCACCATCTCTACTGTGTGGACTCAAGCTGACTGCCACAGCTTCAACTATCACAATATCATTTGAAAGCAAGAAGTGGAGAGAGGGAGGAAGAGTAAAAGATTTTCTCTTAGGTAGTTCTTTCCTTTTATCAGTGAAGAAGATCTTTCCCAGAAGCCCTCAGCAGGCTTCCCCTGATATCGCCTTGTCCAGGCCTGAATCACGAGTTCCTTCTGTAATTTCAACCATATTCTGTTGAGAGGAATGTAATAGAAGCGACTGACTTGAATAACACCAGTTCATCTCCAGAACAGGACACATTGCTGCCACAAAGTCGGAATATTTGTTGGCAAATAAGAAGGGGAAAATGGCTTTTGGGTGGACGATAATACTGCTGCCACAATTCGAGGAGCACAAACATGGCCTGAGTGCAAGATACTCATGGCAGAGTGAAAGACAGGGCTGAGGAGAACAGGAAGTTCTCACTTCCTGTCCTTCACTACCTGCCACCCGTCTCCTCTCCTGCACCTTAACTGGCTGGGTTTTTCTTTTCTTTTTTCTCTCCTATCTCTTCACTTTTTCCTAGAATCATCTTTCACATTGCCATTGCACTATGCAAACATCTTCAGTGAGTCCCACTCACTGATAAGATAGGTTCTTGGTATGGGACTCAAAACCCCACTTCCTTTCTCTCCAAAGGGTTCCTAGCCTCTCAAAATCCCTTTTCAAATTTACCTCCAAGCCAAACTGATCTATTTATGTCTTAAAGTTATAAACTACACATTGTCATCACCGTGCTCCTGCCTGGGTTTCTTTTCCTCTCCCTCTTTTCTAATACATTCTCAGGACCCAACTTACCTCTCTTCCCAAGCAAACCTTCATTGATCCGGACAGACCTCAATGATCAATCCTTCTCTAATCTCCTGTAAATTTTACACTTGATATCATTCACTTGCCAGCTATCTTCAGACCAACCCCAATCTGGCCAATTATGCTGTGTATTAATAAGATGAGTCTAATGTCAAGATAAAGAGTACCAATATATCTGTGGTAGAACACAGTAAAAATTGATTTCTCACTCTGGCCACATCCAAGGTGCATATTCTTTGTTGGAGAACTCTATTGGGAAACATTTTTCCAAGCAGTGACTCAGGGATTTAGCCTCTTTTCATCTTGCGGTGCCTCCCTCTTCATATCGCCTCCAAGGATGCCACAGAAAATAACGTGAGGAGCTTCCACTGGATGACTAGTCACCTCAGCCGAGAAGTCATGCACATTACTTTCACTTATACTCATTGGCCATTCTAATCTATTCTAATCTAATATAAGGAATCATATGACTTCTCTTATTTTTTATTTATTTTTTTTTTTCTGAGAAGGAGTCTCGCTGTGTCACCCAGGCTGGAGTGTAGTGGCAAGATCTCAGTTGACTGCAACCTCCATTTCCCAGGTTCAAGAGATCCTCCCACCTCAGCCTCCTGAGGAGCTGGGATTACAGGCGTGCACCACCACACCCAGATAATTTTTATATTTTTAGTAGAGACGAGTTTTCGTCGTGGTGGCCAGGCTGGTCTCGAACTCCTGACCTCAAGTGATGCACCCACCTTGGCCTCTCAAAGTGCTGGGATTACAGGCAGGAGCCACTGCACCCTGTCCATATGGCTACTCTTAATATCGAGGGGGCTGGTATACATAGGTATCAACAACGCTACCCTTAGAGAGAGAAGCAGGTGTCTTTGGTGATCACCTAGCTGCTCTGTCCCATACTGGCCTCCCCTCATTTTAGGACTTACTTTGTTGGTACAGTGCAATGACTCAGATGGACAGGACATAAGAAGAAAAATGTTTCACTGTTGCTGCTAAAATTTGTACAGAAGCAAAATCTCTTCTCTCTTCACACTTGTAGAAAAACTATTCAGCTACATGCTCACAGTTTATGTTTATTTCTTGTCAAGGCTGTTCTGAGTATTTATTTTAACTGTTTTTTTCCTGAGCAGACTTGGTTTACTGTGAGGGGTCCCATGCTAAGTGATTTGCCCTAGACCCCACACTGCTTCTAGAGATGGCTCAGGTACTGTAACTCCTTATTTTATTTTCCAAAAGATAATTTTATTTGTACTTCAGAATATCATAGAAACAGATGGGAGTTAAGGTAATTATATTTAGGTGGAAGAAAAGAGGAAGGAAACCGAATGAAATAGAACCAACCTTCATGGCACATACTTGGTCCCAGATGTCTTTTATTTGCTGTCTTTTTAGTGCATCCAGCAAAGTTATGAGTTTGTTATTATGAGTCCCAGCTGCCACTTACCATAGGCTGACTCCAAATCTAATAGAAAGAATTTGGTACTGTTTATGGCCTAGTCCAGACCTCCCCATGAATAATTTTGTATTTTAGCTACATTATGGGCTATCCAGACCTTTGCAGGTAGCATTGACAACAAATCACATTTATAATACAGTTTCTAAAGAAAACTGTACTACAAGATCCAACATATATATTTATCTGGGTGTCAAGCCTATCAATACACTGAGAGAATCCCCACCCCAACATGTGCCAATTGAGGTGGACATTGCATTACTTTTTGTCCTCTAGTGTCCTGGGGGTGTCCCTAACTGCTTGGCGTGTTCAGAAAGTAGCCTTGTAATTTAGGTAGTATAAATACTGCCTAGCTTATATGTTAAATGATGACAAATGTTAGAATACGGAAAGAACAACAAAAATAAGGTGGCCAAGTGTGATGCACTAATGTTGTTTAATACAAACTGATTGTAATTCTATTTTTTAAACAAATCGTAGATTTAAGAAGTCATCAAGTCTTCTCAAATTTTAGATGATTTTAATTATGTGATTATTTTAATTGTCTATTTTGCTTTCTCAATGATTTTTTTTTATGTGTTTCAAATATAGCATTATAGATATAAAGTAACTTTACCCACATCCACATCCAGGAAGTTGGCCACATCATTTTCCTGTGGTGATTCTGGCTATGATTCAAGTTCTGAACCATTCCTGTGATTTCCATCATAATACTCGATCCTTCTATTCTGCGTCTTTCTGAAGGATGGCATTGCTCATTTTCCCCAATTGCCTATAAAATAATTTGCATAATGACTATGTGTCATTTAGTATAGAATTATTTGCTTTGTTGCTTTTCTTTAGCATCTGAAACTCGATACTGCTGACTCTAAAACAACTATGTCCATACATGGCAGTAAAATACATGGACATTTGTCTAACAATTTGATTAATTTGACCCATGTAGACATTCACCTTTGATAATCAAAGACAAAATTACATTTGAGGTTCAAGGTAGCTTTTGGCTTATTGGCAGTGATTGGCTAATTGTTCATGAAATATATTTCCCATCTTCCTGGACTCACAGTTGAACAGAATTTCTCAGCCATCTTTACTGTGGAAATGTGACTCTGTTTTGGCTAATAGGATCTGGAGAGAAGTGGTATATTCTCTCCCAGACTTGGTGTATAAAAACCACCTGTGTAATCCTGTGCTCTCTCTTCCTTTGGCTCCAGATGATGTTGCCATCCAGGGAGATCTCAAATGCCGTATATGGAAGGTGGAAGCATCACAAGATGGAAGGACCCTGAGCTTCCAAATGAACACACCCTCCTTTCCAACGCCACACCACCAACTGATCTTTATGTGAGCAATTAACAAAAGCCTGTTGTATTAAGCTGCCAAGAGCTGAAGGAAATACCTGCAAGCATGACTTTAACGAATACCCTTCACCATAGGTATTCTTTTTATTTCATCTCTCAATTGTTATTTTAGGTCAGTGGTTGTCAATCAAGAGTAAGTTTGGGCCAAGCACAGTGGCTCACGCCTGTAATCCCAACACTTTGGGAGGCTGAGGTGGGCGGATCACCTGAGGTCAGGAGTTTGAGACCAGCCTTGCTAACATGGTGAAACCTGTTTCTACTAAAAATATAAAAAATTAGGAGGCCGAGGCAAGTGGATCCCTAGGTCAAGAGTTCAAGACCAGCCTGGCCAACAGAGTAAAACCCCGTATCTACTAAAAATACAAAAGTTAGCCAGACATGGTGGTGTGCACCTGTAGTCCCAGTTACTCAGGAGGCTGAGGCAGGAGAATTGCTTGAACCTAGGCGGCAGAGGTTTCAGTGAGCCGAGATCACGCCATTGCACTCCAGCTTGGGCAACAAGAGCAAAACTCCATCTCAAAACAAACAAACAAAACAAAACAACAAAAAAACGAGTAATTTTGCTATCCTCCCAGAGGACATTTGGCAGTATCTGGAGATTTTTGATTGTCACAACTGAGGAAGAAGGTGGATTGGGGTAGAGGTCCTGGATGCTGCTGAACATCCTACAATGCATGGGACAGCCTCCCTATGCATTGTTTAATCCAAATGTCAGTGGGGCTGAGGTTGAAAAACTGCTTTAGCTATATCTATTCGGCAAAAGTACATATAATTAAATATTTAGTGGCCAGGCGTGGTGGCTGAGGTCTGTAATCCCAACACACTGGGAGGCCAAGGCAGGTGGATCACTTGCGGTCAGCAGTTTGAGACCAGCCTTGCCAACATCGTGAAACCCCATCTTTACTAAAAACACAAAATTTAGTCGGGCGTGATGGCCCACACTTGTAATCCCAGATACTCGGGAGGCTGAGGCATGAGAATCAACTGAACCCAGGAGGCAGAGGTTGCAGTGAGCAGAGATTGTATCACTGCGCTCCAGCCTGGACGACAGAAAGAGACACTGTCTCAAAAATAAATAAATAAATAAATATTTGGTTACCTTTATTATGTACCTTATTTAGTAATCCTCCAATTCTGTTTGCTTAGTTTAGGTTCTTGTTGTGGTGGTGTGATCCCAGTAGCTTTGGTTACCAGTTGTCATTAATGCAAAGTTCAATGATCTCTAAATTTTTCTTTCCATTTCCATAGCCATCCTTGCTTGTCTCCCCTTTCACCACACTATTTTCTACACCACATATTTATTGCTGAATCTCCAGAAATCCTCACAAGACCTGACATAAAGTAGGTATGTAATAAATGTTACTGCATGAAATTGAACTAATATAAATAAAAACATGGAGAAAAAAAATGAATGAACCATTCCTGCCCTCATCTTCTTCTCCCTTGGCTTCGATGACACTACATTGCTCAGCTTCTTCTCAACCCATGCTTGCTGTCTTCTCCAAAGTCTTCGCCTCCTCCCTCTAAATGCACTTCCTCCACAAGTCAGATATTTTCTCTTCTCCCTCTCACACCTTTGGATAACTCAATCTTATGACATCAACCATCACATCTACTCAAAGAACCCACAGATTTCATCACGAGTATGAATTTTCTCCTGAGAGTCAAGGTCAAAACTATGCCTACCTGTGTCCACTTGCATATTCCACCAACAATTCAGTTGGTCTAAAGCTAAAGAGTATCACTCCCCACAGAAACACTGTAGCTCTGCACTCCTTACCATGTTTCATTTCTCCATCAGCATTACAATCATTTTCCTCAGTATCAACCAAGACCTTCCCTCTCTCTCACAGACGGCTAGATATATTATAGGTGCTTGTCAATTTGTAGCTTCTCTTTCTCATCTCTTGGCACTTTGTATAGGTTATTTTGTATAGCTTTAATTTGCCATTTTCTTGTTTGAATTTTAAAAATCCAGAGCAGCACCGATTAATAAGAGATAGTGTGAGTCGGCCGGGCGCGGTGGCTCACGCCTGTAATCCCAGCACTTTGGGAGGCCGAGGCGGGCGGATCACGAGGTCAGGAGATCGAGACCATCCCGGCTAAAACGGTGAAACCCCGTCTCTACTAAAAATACAAAAAAATTAGCCGGGCGTAGTGGCGGGCGCCTGTAGTCCCAGCTACTTGGGAGGCTGAGGCAGGAGAATGGCGTGAACCCGGGAGGCGGAGCTTGCAGTGAGCCGAGATCCCGCCACTGCACTCCAGCCTGGGCGACAGAGTGAGACTCCGTCTCAAAAAAAAAAAAAAAAAAAAAAAAAAAAAGAGATAGTGTGAGCCATAGCCATATGTGTAAATATAAACTTTCTTAGTAGCCACATTAAAAATTCAAAAAGAACCAGGTGAAAATAATTTTAATATTATGGTTTATTTAACCCAATTTATCTGTCTGAAATATTATTGTTTCGTGTGCTCAAAATAAAAATATGTACTTAATATAAAAGTTAATAATGTATTTTACATTTGTTGGATAACATCAAAACCTAGCATGTTTTATGCTTATACCACATCTCACTTAGGACTAACCATTTCAAGTGTTCAATACGCACATGTGGCCAGTCGCTGCCCTAGTGAACAGCACGGCTCTAGAGCTTTAAGACTATCTTATGCTTGCTTGTGTTCATGACATTTTGTACAATGTGTAGCACAAAAATGTGTTTGGTCAAAGAAACTAACCTCGCTTTCATGGAATTGATTTCTCTTTGTTCCAAGGTACTGCAGAACTTATGTTGTATTCCATCTTATTTGCTATTTTAAGTTATTTTGTACTTTCTTGACATAATATGTGCCTTCCCCCCCACACACACAATATTTTGAGATTAGAGTCATTCATTATGTTTTCTAATCCCTTTGTATTCATACTACATTGCATGGTACCAAATTCATAGAAGACATCATCTGGATGGAATAAGTGGATAAAATAATGGCCAGATCAAACTTAAGTTGAAAAAAAGTTTATTTCCTGTTTTAATTATAAATGTAAAAGTTTAACTATGTTCATATAACAGCATTTAGGTAGCTTTTCTCTGTAAGATACAAATGGATTTTTATTATGATGCTGTATTTAACTGTTTTAATTACTAACCAATACAGCCTTATTGTAGAAAAAGAAGAACATGCAAATAATTTAATATACATATACATAAAGTGAAAAAAGCAAGCAACAAAATGAAATGAACTATATAAAACTGCTATTGCAAAAATATATACATAGAAAAAAGACAGGAAATGAAATAATACAATATTAAACATTGGTTTTCTTGAGCAGTATATACAGCTATGGGAAAACTCTTTTGCAGCTTTTTTTTTTTTTTTTTTTTTTTTTTTGTGAGATAGAGTCTCGCTCTGTAGCCCAGGCTGGAGTGCAGGGAATGCAGTGGTGTGATCACGGCTCACTGCAACCTCGGCCTCCCGGGTCCCAGTTCAAGCAATTCTCCAGCCTCAGCCTCCCAGGTAGCTGGGATTACAGGCATGCACCACCATGCCCAGCTAATTTTTGTATTTTTAGTAGAGACAGGGTTTCACCATGTTGGCCAGGCTAGTCTTGAACTCCTGACCTCGTGGTCCGCCCACCTCGGCCTCCCAAAGTGATGGGATTACAGGCATGAGCCACCACGCCAGGCCTCTTTTGCAGTTTTATGTTGTTTTTATTTTATTTTGGAGTATTTTTCTGAAGATATGTTTCTTTAGTATGAAAAAAATAAACATACACAGACATACGCATACATTATCAGTATACGGGCCAAAGTCCTTCTAGAAAACTAGAGATGTTTATTCACATCTGCTACTTCCCTGTACTGTAATAATACTCCTCCAAATCTTGATTCAGTCAGTTTATTAAACTAAGAAAAGAGTATGGAATGATGATAGGAATGAATTTACAAAACCACAAAATCCCTTTGCATTTGGATTTTGTAAATCCATTCCCATCATCATTCCATACCTCTAGTTTACTAGGGTAGGTTTAATTCCTTATCTGGGCTCCCCTGTTTTGCATTTTCCATACATTGTGTTTTTGATTGTTGACTTCCTTATTGTGCTGAGATTTACATTACATGGGTTATACACTCCCCTCTGGTCATCTGTCCCACTTCCCACACAGCCTGCCCACCCCGGGTCTCTTTTTAGGGTGTTATTACATATTACTCCTTCCCTTGGAGACTGTTTTTACAACATGGATTACAGGATGGTCAAATAACAAATATACCTTAATAAGCCCTTATTGAAGACATCTGACATTCAGATACACACGCAGATAAAGCATATGTTTCATATTTTAAATCTGATTTTATTTTTTATTAATGAAAAGCTTTAGAAACTTTTTCTATATAAAGTTTACTTTTTCTCATGAGAAAGAAAAAAGTAAACTTTATATAGAAAAGTGCAGTATCTACAGCAGCCATAGTAATCTTTTAAAAACATAAATCGCAATACCCTCCTGCTTAAAACTCTCCATGGCTTCCCAGTGCAATTGGAACAACAATGAAACACTTTTCTTGGCCTGCAAGTACCTACAAGATCTCTTTTCTTCTTTTCCCCTAGGTGCCATGCTCTTGAGCCTTCTTTCTGTTCTGGGAATACTCTGGAGCCTCATTTCTGAACTATTCTGCTTGCTTAAAACACATTTCTTCAACATCTTTACAAGCCTGTCTTCTTGCCATTCATGCCTCATCTCAAATGTCATCTCCACAGACAGGACCATCTCCTTCTACTGCCTCCTCAACCCTTTCTGTTCCATTCAGAGCCTTTTCCCCATCTGAAGTTACTTTACTTGTTTGTTAATGTGCATTCTCTGTCTCCCCAACTACAATGTAAGTTCTACCAAGCAGGGACTTTTTCTTGTATCCTCATTGCCTAGAAATGTTCTAGGTATAGATAGCAGGTACATAATAAATATATTTTGTTTTGGGATTGAATAAAAATTAACTTGAGTAGTGCACAGTACTGCACCCTGTTTACTCCTAAAAAAGGCTACATGGTCTGCTGTTCAGGAAACAAGGAGCACGTTCTCCTTCTCTCTTCTCCTACTCTCTCTCTGAGTAGAGAGAGTCCTTTCTCCTAGTTCCTTCCGTTTCTCCATCACCATTCTCAAACTGTTAGAGCCTTTTCAGGCCACCACCAAAATGCCAATGGTCTGATTTCACCCCCACCCTTCAACATTCAAGTTCCTGGAGAGATTCCCATTCGTTCCAGTAATGGAAAATCAGCCTAATCAATGAAATTTCATGTTGTCCTTTGATCTACAAAGGTGAAACTGTAGTGCTATTAGAAGCAGGTGCTTTTAGTGGAATTGTCTCTTATCTAGCCAAGTTCTTATCATGCCTTCTAACCACACCCGTGCCCTAATCTGCAATCAGAATGTTCATCTGCAAGGCTGGAGAGTGTCTGTTTTAGAACTTAGTTCAAAATGGGAATTATGAACATGGCTTCATTAGCATTATGACCTAATCAATTTTTCTAATTCATCCTAAAAATGTATTCAACCATAACTGCTTATACCTGCAATTGACTTAAAAATAAAGACAAATTTATCTTTCATAAGAACATGAAAATTTAAGGCTGCAATGTAATTTAGATATAATTGCAGATAACAGATACGACAACTAAAACCCAGGGTGAGGCTAAGGAACCTTCCAAAGGTCACTAAGACAGGCAAAGGCAGAATCAACTTTAGACACCCAGTCCAGGGCTCTTTCCACTACATCTAATAAGATTGAATGTTTATTAGTTATGGGCTTACCTATTTCTATAATATTAATATTTCTTTGTCACAGTGCCTGCCACATAGAAAGCTAACAATAAAATTGGCAATAACTAAATCAACAATTAACATAAAGTTTTGAAAAACATTTTTGAGTTTAGGGATTTGGCTTCAATTTGGAATGGTGATTATAAGGTGGTGTTTTTCATTTATCTCTGTCTTTTGAAGATGTAAAACTCAAGCATAAGTATCACACACAGTAGCTTCAACAGTATTAATTTACATGGTTATCTGTCTCTCACATGCTTCATTCCATGGTTACCTCTGCTTGGCGAACATGCCCTGGGATGTGAATCCATCTTGGTATTCACAACACAATATACATAATTCCACTACTGATGTGAATAGTGCAGTAGTGTTATTTTATTTAAGTATTGGTACTTTTTTTTTTTTTTTTGAGATGGAGTCTTGCTCTATCACCCAGGCTGGAGTGCAATGGCACGATCTCGGCTCACTCCCGGGTTCAAGCAATTCTCCTGCCTCAGCCTCCCAAGTAGCTGGGATTACAGGCATGCACCACCAGGCCTGGCTAATTTTTGTATCTTTAATAGAGATGGGGTTTCACCATGTTGGCCAGAATGGTCTCAAATTCCTGACCTCATGATCCACCCGCCTTGGCTGGGATTGCAGGCGTGAGCCACTGCAGCCGGCTGGTACTTATTTTTAAAAGGAAAATAAATTAGGATACAATTTCTGGATATAATTATCAATACATACTCTTCAGGTTGAAATACTTTTAAAATTTCTGATAAGTACTGGAATAATAAAAACAAAGATTTGACATTATATCTGAAAAGTATAATTTTCAGATATATTTTTCTGCAATAACAATTGCATGACATCCTCTCTTCAAGCAATCATAGTGCTTGAAAATTTACATGGTAAATTCACAGCATGAGAGAAAAGTTCAATGCAACATTACAAGTCAGATGCAATAGGAAGTGGACAATAAACTAAAGAAGACTTTCTGAAATTTCACCCTTTGAAAAGTAATTATAATGGCAAATGTACTTTTTTTAATACAATAAAATATCAAACTTTATGTGAGATATTTTGAAATTCATGCTTTATATTTTGAGTGACACAATCAAGTCAAGCTAGGAAAATAATCTCATAATCCTTGGGCATGTTTTACCTTCACTTATAAGCCATGCAATGGAGGGCTCATCTATTAAGTTCTAATTATAGTGACTATTTATCCATACTCTTATCTCTCCGAGGGTATGGCACCTTTGTCTAACTTGCCTTGATTTACCTTTGCTCTGAAGGAGGGCACATAGCCTCCTCATGGGTTTAATTATCTTCATTCGTCCAATTCTGAGTGTTCCCTTTCACTACCTCTTTTTAACATTTCTCTGCTACATGCAGAACATTATTGCTCTTCTGTGCCTTTGGGGAGGTCAACAGCATACTGTCTCTGCTTCATCGGCAAGCACTTCCACATTCAGCAGTTTTCTTAGCGTCTGACTATAAGATACTTCTATGGGCAGTAGAAAAATGATGCTACCAATCTTGCATGGACATACACAGCAGTATTGCAGAGGTCTTGACTGTTGTCCATTAGTCATGTTCACTGAATCAGGTAACGATCAGAATGATGGGCAATTTCTCACACTGTTATGGACTCAATGAACTGGTGCTCATGGTGCCCTTCTTATGAACAATGTGTCTCCCTCCACACCTTTGTGAGGTAAGAGTTTAAAAGCAGTTTTGTAGCACTATCCTAGCTGAGAGCCCAGGAGCAGTTGGGAGTCCACTGTCTCTAAGATGTAATATTTTAGAGTTTCTACTGTGGGGAATGCTAAATTTTATATTCATTGCCAATTTACCTTTCTTGAAACTTTCCTTTTTCTCTAAAGGTGATGCTATGAAACAAAAGTTATATGGAAATAAGTCACAACAAATCTTGTGGGTGAAAAAATTTAGAATTGCTCATTGAAATCCCATCAAGTACAGCGCAAGTTCGCAAGTTCCGTGAGGCCATGGGGTCTTTCTTTAAGCCATCCCACCCTAGTGGCTTTCACAGAGGAATCACATTCCTCTGATTCCTCTGAACTTAAAAATATTATGAATTTTCTCTACTATTTATTTGATTACCCTATGACATTTCTCCAATTGGCACTTTACATTATTTACCTCACCTCTTCTGTTATGATACTTTTGATAAATGTGTGACTTATTTTCCCTGTTAGATCACAGGCACTTCCATTTTAGACTCTTCTATATTCCTTGCAGCATCTTAAGCTGTCATTTTCGCAAAGTTATTTTAAAAATTAAATGATGGGTGGGGCACAGTGGCTCATGCCTGTAATCCCAGCACTTTGGGAGGCTGGGAGGATCTCTTGAGCCCAAGAGTTCAAGACCAGCCTGGACAACATGGTGAGATCCTATCTCTATTTTCTTTTAAAATAAAGAAAAATAAATTATTTTTAAAAATTAAAAGATGAATTTATTTCCATGTGAGCTAATGTAGGTTCTTTAAAAATATGATCTCTGCTTTGGAGATGTTCTGTAAAAACTCAGACAGGGAGTAGGAGTTTTCTTAGATCCGTCCATTCTCATGCATAGAAAGGAGAGTAAGTTCTCTGTCTTCCTCTAATGGTCCCCATAACTCTGGAGAATCACTCAGGTTTCATGTAGGCATGTGCTGGGGTGTTTTGTATCCACTTGATATGTGGATAGTGCACTAAATCTGGCAAATGTCAGCATAGCATCTTTGGGGTGTAATTGTTGACTTTATCCCTCTCCTGTCCTATCCCAGACTGGGTTCCCTTTTGTATTCCATCCCACATCCATAAGTAAGCAGCTAAACTATACAAAGTTCCAGAACAGAAGAACATGCCATTTTAAAAAAATAAATCTACCAGGTATTCTCTTTTGCATGGGGTGAGTTGAGAGAGAGTGGGTAGAATTTTAATTCATGATGTATGCCAGCTGTGATGAATGGAGAATTTCCTCACAGTACCTAGGTTTCTACTGCAATAACAGGTAGAAGCAGTGAAACATGTTCTGGACCCCAACTTCTCAGAGCATTTGTAGAGTTCATCATTCTTAAAGGGGGGCAATCTGAGTTCCAGCCAAAACTCAGTTTTCCAAGCCAAAAGAAAACATGGCTGGTCTGTGTAACAAATAAGCATTCTGTGGGACTCTGGGGCATACTAAAGCAAAGAAAACCTAGAAAGGAAGATAATCTGATCTTCCTGTTCATATAAGCATGAGTGTCATACTTTGGATTGTTCCCAGGGGACAGCTATTGTGTGCCAAATTGAAGCTTAGACACTCCAGTTACACAGGGGAAGTTGTAGGTGTGTTTCTTATCTCTTTGTCTGCTAAACTGCTTCTAGAAGTAAGTAACAAGATAAATCAAATAGTTACAAGATAAAGATTTTTGGAAATTCTTCCCAATTTAACCTTCTCCTTTGGATTCTACTAAACTTCATCTCTTGGCATTTTGCTGTGCTGTGGAGGGAGTTATTGTGATGAATATGTAACTCTTACTCTACCCTTACTCTTACTCTTATCCATTGATTTTTATCTACTACTCCTACTATTCTACATGGTGAAAGCTAATTCAAATATGAATTTATTTTGTGCCAAGTGCTATTCCACACATTGATGTAACTCATTAAATCCAGCTCACTTAAGAAGTCTCAAATCTAGCCCTCTCTGTTCATAAAAAACCACCATTAGAATGTGAAACATTTTCTGTGGTGACAATCCAGGGGCCCGTAGTTAGAAATAAATGGTGTTTGTACAAAACTTAACTTGATGTGGAATTAAAATTACTTACTTCCAGATTTCACATGATGAAACTGTATTTGGATTGTCTTTTGCAAAAACCTTATCATTCTGACACACAGACATGCTTACACTTAAATGCTGTGATTTACAGCCTGTTACACAAAGATAGTTGTAACCATATGTGAAGCTGTGTACATTACTTCTATAAAAATGTTTTCCTCTAAAGTGTACTTGAAAGAAACGAGACTAAGAGGGAGCAGTGGTAGGAGGAGATGGCATGAATTTAAACAGAGTTGTCCATGCATGCAAATCTCAGGAAGAATTCCAACAGTTTGTTATATCCAAGTAAATCTCTTTCCTGATTTACAGTCTCTTCTCCCTCATTACAAAAGAAATATTCCCAACTACTTTGTAACTTTTTAAAAAAATTTCCATACTTCCTAATTATGATTCATACAACTGTACCAAATATAGATAGTCCTGTATTTCCAAAGTGAAAATGCCAACCATACTTTCCTTTTATCTATTTTTGAAGAAATATCATTCTCAGTGTTTCCACTGTAGTCAAATAATAGATTTCTATGTGAATAATCCCAAGAGCATGAGAACTAAAAGCATAGTAACTTTTAAAAGCCACCATTAGAATGTGTAAATATACTCATGTTTAGGAACTAGTAGGTTCTAGTTCTTTGTGAGTTTTTTTTTTAAAGGAAATACCTTTTCAGTGGGTGTTCTTGAATTATTATACTTTAAAAATCAAATGAGTTTTATAATCATAAAACATTGCAGAATTTGGAGTAATATTTAAAATATTTTAACTAAAAAATAAAATTCCTAGGTAATTATATCATTTACTTATTGCTAGCATTTCCATATGTTGAAAAATCAGGCATTATAGCATTTCAGATTTAAGGGAAAACTAAATATTCAATTCTGCATGAATTAGAGAAATTCTAATTTCTCTAGATCCCAGACCTATTAGAGAAATTACTTAATGGGCAAGAAATAAATCAAGATAGGAGGTATGTTTACTCCTTTAGGCCACTAATTAAGATTCAACCTTAATGTACTAAGTAAAATTTTCTTTGCCCAAAAAGTGAATGTAACATCAGGAAAAATAAAAAGCTAACTTTGCCCCAAGAAATAGCTTATTCACTCATATAATTATGACCAAGAAAAGAAAACAAAAACAAGAAACAAAATTATGCATGTTAGTCATCTTTCCTTTCTAATGTTAAAACAGAGTGTTCCAAGAGATTATGCCTTAATCTCCAGGCAAAATAACACATTGAAAATCACACAGATGCAGCAAATTACACTAAATAGGTAGTTTCCCAAAATGAATTATCCAAGTTTTATTATCAAAAAACATTTTTTAGCATATCAAGGTAAAAAGTCAGTCTAATATTTTTCATGAAAGTTATTCTTTCCCCTGTGTATGAAAACATTTATCAGAACAAAAGACATCAGAAAAAATACTTTTTCAATCTGTTGCTACTTGTACAATATGAATAATAATGTTAGTTACATGGAAATTCAGTGCCAATGTCTTGGCCCAGTCTACACAGACATATCTATTGAGCAGTGCCAAACACTGCATCTGAAGATATTATTGTAGGGATCGCAGCTTAAAGTTAATAGAACTTAATAGAGACTCTCAACTTTGTCTCAGTATGTCTAGATTGAGGAGAGGTGGTACAGATCCTCCAAGAGTCTGTTTATATCAAGACTGAATTGCCTCTTAAAGAAACATTCATCCTAAGGGAAGAAAGTAGGCCCTCAAGTATCGTCTAGACCAGTACTCAGCATGGGAGGAAGAAGACTTCTGAAGACAGCAGTGTCTGTCTCTTAGCTCAGCTTGCCCATTTTGACTTTTGCCTGTGCCTGTCGGTGTAAGAGAGACAGAGAGACCTGGCTCCTGACATCAGGCAGCACCAACAGAAGATCTGGCCAGCCCTGGTAACACTGCACCTGCTGGTTGTTGGGGACTGCATCTGGGCTAGCAGCCACAGTATGCATGGAGGGCCATTACAAGACAGGGCCAGCAGTGGAGTACAGCAGCACAGCAGCCTTTGCCTTCATGAGGCTTGACTGGCTCAGGGGCCGTAAACTTGAGGAACCAGAACACAGCAGGGATGTTAGCCACACAGCAGCTCAAAGTACTGTGTGCATGGGACCCACACCTGTAGGTCTCTATCTATGACTAGAGGACTTTGAAAGGGCCTCATTAGGACTGTGCTATAGCCAGCTGTGCTAGTGAGTTAGAATAGGAAATTGTAGTGATCAGTATCCCTTCATAAGCATACATATTTTTTTCTCTCAGGCTATTTTATTTAAAAGGTTGGAGTTTTTAAAAAATACTGTGTTAGAACACTTAACATGAGACCTACTCTCTTAACAAATTTTCAAATGTATACTACATTATGTTTTACTTAAATTTACTTTAATTTGGGCATTGCAAAGACTTTGTATGCTAGGTCTAAAATAGCAGCTTTATTTTCAATAGCTTCTTTTATTTCTGTCTCTTCTTTAACATGTCTTTTGCTTCTCAGTCATAGAGATAAGGAAGCTTTAATTACCTAATTATATATATAATTACCTAAATGTATACCTCTGTCTATACATCTATACACAGATCCACATCTGTGTCCATAATCATATTCGTGTCCATAGTTCTATCTCTAGTTCTATCTGTTCACATTGTAATAAATTGCTGGCAACCTGATTGCACAAATTCCCCTGTCTTTGTATACTTGCCACTTAACATTGTAACTTTTTGCCACTTTTCCCATCAAGAAGTAGCATCTATTTTCCCATTCTCTTAATGTGGCTGGCCTTGTGACTTGCTTTGACTAATAGAATGAGGCAGAAGTGACGTGTGGCTTTAAAAGTTGGGTCTTAAAATGTCTTGCAGGAAGCAGGACTTCCAAATGGCTGAGAGGGACACTTAGCACATACTTGCCTCAAAATGCAATGATAAAACTGGATAAAAATGTTCCAAAACAATCATTTCAAGACACTGGAAATTGACCAGACACACAGCAATTTGAAGAGCAGCTATTAAAAAAACAAAAACAAACAAACAAAAAACTACTAATGTATTTCCATAAATTTACATGAAGTGTGCCTGCCTCACCTGCCTCCCCTGCCTCCCCTTCTCCCACCTTCACCTCTTCTGCCTCAGCCACCCCTGAGACAGCAAGACCAACCCTTCCCCTTCTCTTTCTCTTCCTCTTCAGCCTACTCAATGTGAAGATGATGTGGATGAAGACCTTTATGATAATCCACTTTTACTTGATGAATAACAAATATATTTCTCTTCCTTATAATTTTATCTTTTCTCTAGCTTACCTTATTATAAGAATGCAGTATATAATACACATAAAATACAAAATATGTATTAACTGACAGTTTATATTATAGGTAAGGCTTCTGGTCAACAGTAGTTTTTAAGGAGTCAGCATATGCAGATTTTTTATTGTGTGTGGGGTTGGTGCCCCTAACCTCTGCATTGTTCAAAGGTCAACTGTATTGGAAGAAGTAATAGCCCAAAATTTCCCAGACATGATGGAAATTATTAATCTATACACCCAAGAAGGTCAAAGAATTCCAAGTGGGATAGACAGAAAGAGATCTGCACTTAGAGATGTCAGAATCAAATCGTTGAAAGCCAAAGACAAGGAGGAAATCTTAAAAGTAGCAAGAAAAAAAAATTCATTATGTGGAAGGGAACCACATTAATATTATCGATGGACTTGTCATTAGAAATAGTGGTGAGCAGGCCAGGCGTGGTGGCTCACGCCTGTAATCCCAGCACTTTGGGAGGCCGAGGCGGGCAGATCACGAGGTCAGTAGATGGAGACCATCCTGGCTAACACAGTGAAACCCCGTCTCTACTGAAAACACAAAAAAAATTATCTGGGCATGGTGGCGGGCGCCTGTAGTCCCAGCTAATCGGGAGGCTAAGGCAGGAGAATGGCGTGAATCCTGGAAGTGGAGCTTGCAGTGGGCCGAGATCATGCCACTGCACTCCAGATAGAGAGAGACTTTGTCTCAAAAAAAAAAAAAAAAAAAAAAAAGCACCTGTGTTACTTTCTTTTTTAAATCACAATCCCCCATCCCCACCCCACTAAGAAAAAAATGAAACCTAAAAACTTTGGTAATAAGATCTTTCTATTTCTCTCTAGTGCTTCGTTTAGGGCCACTGACCTTCACCTTCACTTTCTCATGCTTGTGCCCTCTAATTTCCAGGCTCTCGAAGTACGCCCTAGGCAAGATCTTACTGGCGTGTGTATGAGTGCATGTTGAGTGTAGTTTTTCCCAACTAACACTGAAAGTCTCCTTCTTTGACTTCTCCTCTCTTTCTAATTTCCAGTTCATAATGTTCATGTCTCATCTAGACTTTAAAAAGAAAAGAGGTAAAATGAGCTCACGCCATAAAGACGCCCTAGTTTCCAGGTGTGCATGTTTCCCCCCTCCTCCCGACCCCCAACCAGCTGACCTGGAAGACACTCTTCTCCACACTCCATGGAGCACAGAGGGAACTAAGGACCTGTGGCAATGATTCTGTCCCTGATGACTCCTGCCTTGGGCTCCAGGCCAATATGGATTTTTATGACTGCCCTTGTGGTGTACCTTGTACCATCTCTGCCGCTAGAACTTGCTTTGGTTAAAGAGTAAATACACCTAGTTTAAAAACCATGAGAACACTTGGTTTGATTGTTTGTTTGTTTGTTTGTTGTCACTCTCAGTGCCAATGGTAATATTTTCTCATGTCAGTCTTTCTGGGGGCAAAATGACCTGGGTTTTCCTATTGCATAAACTTTGCCTAGTTTAAGTTCAGAAATACTAGAAGCCACTTTCCTCAGACCATAGGGATGCCTGTTAATAATGCAACTCTTTTTCCTTACTGAAAGGAAACTCCCTTTAGTTTTGCTATGGGACGTGGTCTTTACTGTTGTCAACTCTGTTGAAGCAGTGTGGTTCACTAGGAACAAGTTGAAGAGAAGCTAACTGAGAAGCCAATCAAACCAATTTTAAGAACATTGCAACATGATACATTGAGCACCTTGCAAATACTGTTCTTTCTTTGCCACACATCCCTATTCTTGTGCAGATATCTATACCTATAGACACAGATTTTTTTTTTTTTTTTTGAGATGGAGTTTCACTCTTGTTGCCCAGGCTGGAATGCAGTAGCGTGATCTCAGCTCACTGCAACTTCCACCTCCTGGGTACAAGTGATTCTCCTGCCTCAGCCTCCCATGTAGCTGGGATTATAGGTGCCTGCCACCACACCCAGCTAATTTTTTTGCATTTTTATTAGAGAAGGGGCTTCACCATGTTGGCCAGGCTGGTCTCGGACTCCTGACCTCAGGTGATCCACCCGCCTCAGCCTCCCAAAGTGCTGAGATTACAGATGTGAGCCACCATGCCCAGCCTAGATACATATTTTTAATTAATAGGCAATTTTTGGTGCAGTTTTAGATTTACAGAAAAATGAGTGGAAAGTACATAGAGTTACCATATACATCCCCACCCCCATTTTCCACTATTATTAACATCTTGCATCAGTGTGGTATGTCTGTTACAATTGATGAGCCAATATTAATATATTATTATTAACTAAAGTCCACAGTTTACATTAGGGTTCACTCTTTGCATTGTACCTTCTCTGGGTTTTGACAAATGTATAATGACATGCATCCACTCTGGCAGTATTATACAGAATGATTTCACTGCCCTATGAATCACTTGTGCTCCACCTGTTCGTCCCTTCCTCTCTCCTCCGAACCCCTGGCAACCACTGATCTTTTTGCTGTTTTCATAGTAAAAAGATGCCCAGGCCAGGCATGGAGGCTCATACCTGTAATTCCAACACTTTCAGAGGCTGAGGCGAGGAGATCATTTGAGCCCAGGAGTTTAAGACTAGCCTGGGCAACATGGTGAAACCCCATCTCTACTAATAATACAATTAGCTGGGCGTGGGGATGGCACCTGTGGTCCCAGCTACTTGGAAGGCTGAGTTGGGAGGATTGCTTGACCAGGGAGGTCAAGGCTCACTGAACCATGATCGTGCCACTGCATTCCAGTTTGGGCAACAGAGAAAGACTTGTGTCAAAAAAAAAAAAAAATCCAGAATTCTCTTTCTTATCCGGAATGTTACAGTTGTGAGTTGTTCTGTACTACATTGGTTATTCTGTGAACATTTTCATAACTGAGTTATACTTCTGAGTTAAAACCTCCATGATTTTCATAAAGATGTTGGTTGTGAGAATTAAGTGAGAATGTTTTATGCTTAGAGCAACATCTACTTTACAGGCTGGAAGTGGGGATGAAATGTGGTAACATGCTTAAAATACTCAGAACACTTCCTGGAACACAGTCCGTGCTCAACAAATGGTGGCTGGTGTTAGACTTGGCACAACTGCTGATTTCCCGTCCTCTGTAAAGTCTAATTGTAAGAAAGAAGGTGCTCTTGGACTCAGAAAGGGGAATTTAAAGAGGCAGTGGATCAACCATGAAGACCTCCGCCTGTGGAGTCAGGTCATCTGGGTTCAGAACCCTAATTTTACTAGTTACTAGCCACTACTTGGGAAGTTACCTGATCCCCCTTTGAGATGGATTTCCTCCTGTAAATGAGAAGACTAACAATTCCTCTTTAAGCGGTTCCTCTTTCTCAGGCCTGATACTCAGTCTGCACCAAAACAAGATGAAGGCTCTATTATGAAAGGGTTCAAGCCCATGCTGTGGACTGTCCAGGGAAATCCTGACCCCTTTGTGTTCTAAGAGTATGATGGAGGCAAGTTACGTAGTCTTTCCTTGCCTCTGTTTCTGTTACCAAATAATAGCTTTAATAATCAGAAAAATGGCCGGGCACAGTGGATCACGCCTGTAATCCCAGCACGTTGGGAGGCCAAGGCAGGCGGATCATCTGAGGTCAGGAGTTCGAGACCAGCCTGGCCAACATGGTGAAACCCCATCTCTACTAAAAATACAAAAATTAGCTGGGCATGGTGACAGGTGCCTGTAATCCCAGCTACTCAGGAGGCTGAGGCAGGAGAATTGTTTGAACCCAGGAGGTGGAGGTTGCAGTGAGCCGAGATCGCGCCATTGCATTCCAGTCTCGGGGACAAGAGCAAAACTCCATCTAAAAAAAAAATCAGAAAAATGGAAAGAACATTCAAGATGGGGAGGTTTGGAGAAATGAGCAATGTATTTTATGACAGAACATTTGGGATGTTTTCCTATTCCTGGAAATCCCTAAAACTACTGAATGAGCATCATTGGAATTTATTCTTGGGTAGATACAAAATCAGACCTCTGAAATAATAACCTCTCTGAATTTTTCTCTGCATAAAACAAACAAATGATATATGTCCCACTTAACTCTCAGGGGTTTTTTTTTAGATGATATAGATTATGCCTGTGAATTCAATGTCAATTAAACATTGTCCTAGATGCTATGGGTGAGAAAACCAGTAAGCAAAGATTCTTATTCTCCCTTGGCTTCTCCAGAGGAGGGAAGTAAACTCAACAGTAATTACATGCAATGAAGTGTCAGAGGTGCCCTGACGGAGCTTTGTGGATGGCTTGGGCATATATAAGAGCAATTGTCTCTACCTCGGGCTAATGAGAATCAGCTTCCTAGAGGTGGTAACACTCAAACTGATGTGTGAAAGTACTTGGCTTAGGTGATTGGCTCAGGGTGTGTTGTAGTTGGAAATGAACTGAAATCCTGAGGTATCCCAGGCACTTTTGGATGCCATTATCTACCTTTGAACTTGGAGAGACTAGTTGAACAGCTGGAGATCAGAATTTCATTACGTACTAAGGCCTGGTGATAAAATTTGTATCACTTTGCTTAGTTGATGAAATTTTGTCATTTCATTCAGTGTTTATTTTTAAATTTAGTTATATATATAGAGAGAGAGATAGAGATAGAGATGAGAGAGAGAGAGAGAGAGACCAGAGGCTGGTCTCAAATTCCTGGCCTCAAGTGATCCTCCTGCCTTGGCCTCCCAAAGTACTGGGATTACAGGCATGAGTCACCACACCTGGCTGGTTATTCAGTGTTTATTAAAGCATATTTATTTCATCCACTCATAAATGTAGAAGGACTGATAGAATGAGAAAATTATTTTTTAACCTCCAATGTAAAACTTGATTTGAGTCATTAAAAGTAGATACTTAGGGCTGCGTGCAGTGACTCACGCCTGTAATCCCAATGCTTTGGCAAGCCAAAAAGAGAAGATCACTTGAGCCCAGGAGTTTGAGGCTGCAGAGAGCTATGATGTGCCACTGCACTCCAGCCTGGGCAACAGAGTGAAACACTGTCTCAAAAAATATATGTATGTATGTATAGATAGATAGACAGATAGATGCTTAAATCATTAGGTTAAAAGTTCTGGGGGAACAGAATACTCTTGCAGTTTTAAGGTATCAACCCACAGATAACTTATTACTTGCAAAAGGATGAAATACATCTTTATAATAGAGAGTTCGCCATATTATCCAAGTGGTTGAGCTTGACGCTGCTGCTAGTGGAATAGCCTGATGTCCTGCCTCCTGAACTTCTGCAGTGGGAGGGAAATAGCATCACCTACAAGGTGTTCTTGCTAGAAATGTTCAACTTGAGCCTAACCACAAGGAAAAAAATTCTGAATATGGGGTGTTCTGCAGGTCTCTTCAAATACTTTAATATTATAAACCGGGGAAGCAATTGCACCAATCAAAATATGAGGAGCCTGAACATATACAGCAGCTAAGTGCAATATATCAACCTTGATTGGATCCTTGATTGAAAAATAAATCTAACAATAAGGGACATAATGGAACAATCGAGGATATTTAGGTATGGACTGCGTGTTGGATGTTGCTATTGAAGTAATGATGGTTTTTTTTTTTTTTTTTTTTTTGAGACAGAGTTTCACTCTTGTTGCCCCGGCTGGAGTGCAATGGCGCAATCTCGGCTCACCATAACCTCTGCCTCCCGGGTTCAACTGATTCTCCTGCCTCAGCCTCCCGAGTAGCTGGGATTACAGGCATGTGCCACCATGCCCGGCTATATAATGATGATTTTCTAAGGTGTGGTACTGGTATTGTAGTTCTGTAGAAGAATGTCCTGTTCTTGAGAGCTGAAGTACTTACGAATGAAGTGTCCTGATGTCTGCAGCCTAATTTTTGGATGGTTGAGAAAAGGGAATTTCTGTGTATATGTCCGTGTGTGTGTGTGTGTGTGTGTGTGTGTGCGCGCGCGTGTGTGTGCGCGCATATGGAGAGCGAGCGAGGGGATTGGAGGAAATAGGGGAAGAGATATCAGGTATGGCATAAAAGTCACTGCTTAATGAATCCAGGTGAGGTTATAGAAATATGTCTTATTTTGTTCTTTGACATTTTTCAATGACAAAAAATGCACTTCTTAAAATATGGTTTAAAAATGGTCCTAATATTATATTTTGCTTATTAATATAAATTTATCTAAGTACACATATAGGCATACAGTATCTACCAATACAAATAATTTGCTTTGTATATTTTTAATGCAAAGGAAAATTTACCTTATAGTCTTGTTAAAATAATATCCAATATTAGAATAGCACATTGCTCGGTACATAGTTATGCTCAGCCAACTCTTGTAAGACACGCCCAGTGCCAATAAGCTTTTTTCAAAACAACTGTGTAACCTTCTCTTTCCCCAATAAATTCTAATCTTTTCTTGTTTTTCAGACATACCAAAGGCCACCCTGGTCTGTAGGTATGTACCAGATGGCAATCCTTCTTCTTCTTTTTTTTTTAATCTCAGCTCACTGCAACCTCCACCTCCCAGGTTCAAGAGATTCTCCTGCCTCAACCTCCCAAGTAGCTGGGATTACAGGTGCCCGCCACCACACCCAACTAATTTTTGTATTTTTAGTAGAGACAGGGTTACATCATGTTGGCCAGGCTGGTCTTGAACTCCTGACCTCAGGTGATCTGCCCGCCTTGGCCTCCCAAAGTGCTGGGATTACAGGAATGAGAAACCATGCCCGGCCAATCCTTCTTATATATAATTCCCAAATAAAACCTTTTTACCTTAAGATTCATCTCTCTATTTTTTATGTTGACAATTGACTAATGGATAGTTACTAAAATCTTTGGACTAAGTTTCAGGATGAATACATAGCTAAGATAATTGGGTAGTTGGTGTAAATGAATGAGGTAGAAGTACAAGGAGATTGGTTGAGGCAATAAAGAGAATGGGGCTGGTATCCATGAGGGCGTAGGTTCCTTCAGGTGTTGTTGGAAATCTAGAGCATGTGAAAGCCCCATTAACATGTCTTTCTGGAAATCATATAGAGAGAATATTGCTGCACTCATCCTTCAGAGCTACCTACTTTATATAATCCAAAATGCTAGTGTGCTTCTAGGCATTGTGCTATTTTGGAGAATTACAGAGATGTCCTCTATCTGCTTTATGTGGGTCCCAGCAAAACAAGATGTCACATTGAAATAAGGCAATTTAAGAAAAGTAGTTAATAAAGGGATGATATACAAAGGCATGGACAGCATGTGGAAAAATTACTAGGAAGAGCACATGTATTAGTCCATTCTCACACTGCTATAAAGAACTACCTGAGACTAGGTAATTTATAAAGAAAAGAAGTTTAATTGGCTCACAGTTCTGCAGGCTGTATAGGAAGCATGGCTAGGGAAGCCTCAGGAAACTTAAAATCACGGTGGAAGGCAAAGGGGAAGCCAGCATGTTCTGCATGGCTGGAGCAGGAGGAAGGGAAAGCAAAGGCGGAAATGCTACACGCTTTTTTGTTTGTTTGTTTGTTTGTTTGTTTTCAGATGGAGTCTTGCTCTATCACCAGGCTGGAGTGCATTAGTGCTATCTCGGCTCACTGCAACCTCTGCCTCCCGGGTTCAAGTGATTCTCCTGCCTCAGCCTCCCGAGTAGCTGGGACTACAGGCATGTACCACCACACTCAGCTAATTCTTGTATTTTTAGTAGAGACAGGATTTCACCATGTTGGCCAGGATGGTCTCGATCTCTTGACCTCGTGATCCACCAGCCTCAGCCTCCCAAAGTGCTGGGATTACAGGTGTGAGCCACCGTGCCTGGCCCGCTACACACTTTTAAACAACCAGATCTCATGCAAACTTACTCACTGTCACAAGAATAGCAAGGGGGAAATCCACCCCCATGATCCAATCACCTCCCACCAGACCTCTCCTTCAATAATGGGGATCACAATTCCACACGAGAGTTGGGGGGGGACACAGAGACAAACCACATCAGCGCAACACCACAGTGCTGGTAGCAGCAGGACTCTGCTATTCATCAAAGGCTGAAAGGGAGAGAAGAGGGAACAGCTGGAGAAATTTTAAAGGAAAAAGGGCTGTGTAGACAGAGCCACCTACCTGGCATTGTATCTTTAGTTTATGGGTCCAGCTTTTCCCTGTGACTCCAAAAAGAGGGACCCAAGGAAATAAGTGCTACAACTTTACTGTCTTTCTTCCTGCTGATCTCCTGCCAGTGGTCCCCTTGTACTATGCCCATCTGGAAGCAATGACATAGCCCCTACAGATGAGCCTCCCAGGGCACAGAGCAGGTGAAGAAGGGTAGAGACTGGATTGGAGAGGCGCTTGAAAGATCTGTACACTGTGAGACTCTGGATGAGGTATGGAAATTCTCCCTTATTCTGTTTTTCTACCCTATTTTGGAGATAATAGCACTTTTCAGTATCTTCATGACTTCTTGGAATGACTTAACAAGGTTTGTTTTGTTGACCAGATCTTACTGATTAACATATAGTGCCTCTATAAAGGCACTATAAAATTGTTCCAAAGAACCTTCTTCAGAGTAGAATGAAATAATTATAAGAGACCAAAAGCCACTGAACTAGGATGAACCAGTAGGTCAGTAGTGATCAACTGGCTGTTCTTGAACCCTTACGGGATCAGTCTCTAAGCTGGCTGCGTTCTCTAAGTTGGCTCACTCCCTTCCCCACAGTGCTGGGGAAATCTTGCCAGGAAGATGGTATGGCAGGCAGTTGCCTGAATTAGGCTCCAGTTCAGTCAGGATCCCCTTGTGGGTGTCTTTGTCAATGAACCCCATTCTCTTTATCCCCAGTCCTAGGATTAGGAAAGAACGTAAGTTCCAGAAAAATCAAAATGAGCTCCTCAGCAGGAAAGGCTGGCAGATGCCTGGGCAGATGGATCAAGATATCTTATAGCAGTCAGATAAAAGGTGAATTATTTTAAGCCAAATGGCCATGTAGTCCATGGGAAAAAGAGGCAGAGCTGCAAACAGTGACACCTCCTGCCCAAGAATGACTAAGCAGGGAACAAATTATGAAGGCACCTACTGTGAGTCACACTGCCGACTCCACAGCCTTGTGTGGGCACCTGCATAATCAGCAGGAACTTTTGAATATGGTAGATAATGACATCAATTTATGGAGGACAAGATACACAACAATACAAAATCCACCAATAGAAATGTGCAATCTGTTTTGGCAGAAATCTTATCTTACATTTTAATCTGACCCTTACATCAAAAGAACTGAGGTAATCAGTGCATTAGTAATAATGCATGCTAGAAATACCTGAAATAGAATAACAAAGCATATGATAGAATGGAAATGCATCTATATTTGTTTTGCTCTGTATACTTCTATATTGTTTGAATCTTTCAATGAAAATTTCATGTATCATTCACGTAATTAAAAAGAAATGTTTCTACATCTCTACAGACACTATGCAGAATGTACAGAATGTAGTGGTTCTTCATTCTGATTGTGCATAAGAATCACCTTTGTTAAAATGTGAAATTCTAGAAGCCTGGATATCACCTCAGTCCTAAAGAATAAGAATCTCCTGCATGGAAGTTTTTGTTTGGTTTGTACTGCTCCACAAGCAATTCTGACACACGGAGAGATTGAGGACCACCAGGGACATGGTTTCATGTTCTCATTTTGGATTGGACTATTTGCCGTGGTTTTGCATCATTATGTTGCTGACCTGTGGCCCACACATACTCAGATCCTGGCCCCACTGCTTATCTCCTGGGAAACTTCATATATACAAGTTAATGTCTTCAAGTCTGTTACCTCATTTCTAAAATCAGGGTAATAGCAAGACTGATCTCATCACGATATCATGAGAATCAGGCAATATGACACAATCAGAACATTTAGTACAGAATGTGGCCCCTGGTACACACTCAATAAAGATTAATATTATTTAGCTATATAGTCATCCACATTCTGGTATTTATATATTTATAACAAAATAATTATACAGATGTGCCTTGACTTACAGTGGGGTTACATCCCAATAAACCCATTGCAAATAAAAAACTATCGTAAGTTGAAAATGCATTTAATACCCTGATAAACTCACTGGAAAGTAAAAAACTCGTAAGTTGAGGACTATCTTCAGTTGTATGGACATATTTCATTATGATGATATGCTCCACATTGCATTTTGCAGATTCAGAGGTTCGGGGATTTTTTTCACACATTTTCATATCCATTAACTAAAAAGCAATGCTTGTGATGAAGAAGTCACATTACTGAAATTGTAAAATGAGAATAAAACATATTGTCCAACTTTATATTAGAATTCACTTTAAATAGTGGCAGTTTCTTTGGCACAAATCAGTGATTCAGTTTATAAAGCCTCAATGAATAGAAAACCTCATATGATGAAAGTTTTCTGGTTTTTTGTTTGTTTGTTTGTTTTTTGAGATGGAGTCTCGCTCTGTCACCGAGGCTGGTGTGCAATGGGGCAATCTCGGCTTGCTGCAAGCTCTGCTTCCTGGGTTGAAGCAATTCTCCCATCTCAGCCTCCCAAGTAGCTGGGACTACAGGCGTGCACCACCACGCCTAGCTAATTTTTGTATTTTTAGTAGAGATGGGGTTTCACCATGGTGGCCAGTTTGCTCTCGAACTCCTGACCTCAAGAGATCCGCCTGTCTCAGCCTCTCAAAGTGCTGGGATTACAGGCATGAGCCACCGCGTCTGGCCAAAAGTTTTCTGCTTTAAGATTACAGCCGAAGTAGGAATTGTTTGATTACCTGTTTTGAGTTGCTTTGTTTCTGAAGGACTTCAAATCCAGTATGATTGAAAAAGCTGACTAGGGAATTAACTAGGACTACCTTACGTTAAATTCTAGCTTTGACAAGTATTCACTGTGTAATATTAGGCAAGTTATTTAACCTCTCTGGGCCTCAGGTTCTCATTTGTAAAATGGTGATAATAGTACCTACCTCGGCAGGGCATGGTGGCTCACGCCTGTAATCCCAGCATTTTGGGAGGCCGAAGCAGGTGGATCACCTGAGATCGGGAGTTGGAGACCAGCCTGAACAACATGGAGAAACCCCGTCTCTACTAAAAATACAAAATTAGCCAGGCATGGTGGCTCATGCCTGTAATCCCAGCTACTCGGGAAGCTGAGGCAGGAGAATCCTTGAACCCGGGAAGCGGAGGTTGTGGTGAGGTGAGATGTTGCCATTGCACTCCAGCCTGGGCAACAAGATCAAAAGTCTGTCTCAAAAAAAAAAAAAGAAAAAGAAAAAAAAAGAAAAGAAAAAATAGTACCTACCTCTCAGTGTTGCTGTTAGTATTAATTGCATTGTTTAGTAAAATGCTAAAAGATGAGAGCCTGGTGCATAATACGGGGCTATGTTGAATGTTTACTATTTTTATTATTTATTCATTCTAATTGTAGGCATGTGTAGACTGAAAGAGTCTGAGTTATAGAATGGAATTAAACAAGCAAGCATAATTTTATTCTTTACAAGAACTCATGGTATACTGCTAATATTAGGCAGCAAATTTAAAGCTTTATGACATATGTGGTAATTCCCCTAGGGAGTTTATCCTTAGTTATGAAAAATAAAAGGCTCTGACCAATTTCTGTTCTATCAAATTCTGTTTCAAACTCTTATCCATAAACACCTTCATACTAAGTCCCTTATTTATACCTGCACCACAGCCCTGATCTGTGTGTAAAAAGACCGATAAGGGACAGTGCAGTACCTCAGGACTATTAGGACCATGGTATATGAGATTCATTGTTGATGGAAGCATTGTGTGGTGGATGACTATACATTAATAATTGAAATGTAAAATAATGTATACACATGGACATAGAGTGTGGAATGATAGGCATTGGCGACTCCGAAGGATGGGAGGTTCGGGGAGGGTGGGAGATGAGAAATCACCTTTTGGATACAATGTGCATTATTCAGGTGATGGACCCACTAAAAACCCAGACTTCACTGAGCAATATATCCATGCATGGTGGTTAATATTGTCAACTTGATTGGATTCAAGGGTGCAAAGTATTCTTCCTGGGTGTGTCTGTGAGGGTGTTGCCAAAGGAAATTAACATTTGAGTCAGTGAACTGGGAAAAGCTGACCCACCCTCAATCTGGATGGGCACCAACTAATCAGCTGCCAGTGTGACCAGAATACAAGCAGGCAGAAGAATGTGAAAAGACTAGACTGGCTTAGTTTCCCAGCCTACATCTTTCTCCCACTCTGGATGCTTCTCGCCCTCAAACATCAGACTCCAAGTTCTTCAGCTTTGGGACTTGGACTGGCTTCCTTGCTCCTCAGCTTGCAGACAGTCTATTGTGGGACCTCACTTTGTGATCGTGTGAGTCAATATTCCTTAATAAATTCCCCTTTATATATACATCTGTCCTATTAGTTCTATCCTTCTAGAGAACCCTGACTAATACACCATGTAAAAAAATTGCACTTGTACTCCTTAAATGTATACAAATAAAAAAATGAAAACAACTAATTAAAATGTGACTCGACATCACTAGGAGTGATTCAGACAAAAAGTGTTATGGGATTGTCAGAGGAAAGAAAATTTAGTGGGGTAATGATGGGCAATTGATGAACAAAGACTTCATCAGAAAATGGAATTTATATTGGGGTTTAAAGAATGAGTAGAATTTGGATATATGGAGATGAACAATTTAGGCACAGAAACCCGTGGCGCAGAGTTGAAACAGCCAAGAATGAGAAGGGAAATATTGATGAGAAAGGTCAGAAACATGGGCTGGTTATGTTTGGGGTCACAGTTTGAGACTGTATACTTTGACAAGAGATTAGTTCATCTTAAACATGGTGATTATATTTTAATGCATGTATAAGTAAAGATGAAGCGATTTTTTAAGATTTGTTAAATGATCTACTAAGCAGAATAGTCACCTTTAATCCAGAACCATTTTCATGCCTAAAGGACATGGGTTGAGAGTATTTGCATTACCAGAACATTTGCTGACTGAGTTTCCTTGAAATTAGATTGGATGAAAAATAACTTTCAGAATCTTCTCTTATTATGTAAAACTGCACAATATTTGTACTGTGACATGTATATGAAGAAAAACCAAGATTGTAAGTTTGATCTTCAACTGGAGATCAAACTTACTACCATCTGATTATTTCTCAGGATTCAGAATAAGACCTATACAGTTAGAAAAAGGGAGCCAAAAGCAGCTGAGGGGATTTTTTTTTTTTTTAATTTGGTGGGGCTGCCGGTGGTAGGATGGGGGAGGGTTTGGTATAGAAAATTTTAGTGGAAATAATTTTAGCTTTGGAGTCAAAAACTACAAGACTCAAATTCCATTTCCATCACTGTGTGGTCGTGGGCAGTTCTGTTATTTTTCTGAGCCTCAATTTCTTCTATCAACCTATTAAATGGAAAAATAAGAGGGTGCCTATGTATAGTTGTGCGTACTGAATTCGCACACATCCAGGGCATGCAGTAGCGTTTAGCCGAGGTATTGCAGGAGTAATACAGGCATAATAGAATTGTGGTAAAGAGTCATCCTCATGGGGCAATTGAATCATGATACTTTCAAAACCTTAAATTCCTCCCCATTTCCTATTAAAGAGATTTCAAACTCATATTTGGCAATAGTATCCTATGATTAAATAAAAACTACTTTTTGGGATTTCCCCTCTGTTTTATTCCTTTTCAGTAATACTTTTCTTCAGTTTAATAATATTCTCAGTACCCACTACACTCTTTTCTATTTCTGTGTTTCTCTTTGTAATGTTTTCATGTTCCTGGAATTCCCTGCTTTTCCATATTTACTTATACTCCAAACCTACTGGTTCTTCCAAGTTGAACCCAAAGTCCACCTATTCCATTAAGCCTTCCCTGATTCTCCCTTCCCTGACTGAAAAACATCTTTCTTTCACCAATTTGCCCAGCATTGTTCCTGCATCTGCCTCCACCTGAGTCTTCTGCCTTGGGCTACTGGTTTTATTTACATGTCTTATGCTCCCTTTCCCACTGGGAGCAGGACGGAAACAAGATCCACATGTGCATTACCATTGTATTCCTCACAACACTGAGCACAGGGCTGTGCATAGTTGGTGTGCTGGATTACCTAGGGTCAACTTGGCATCACTGCTACCCCTCTCTAAGGTCTCCACTGCAGGAGAAGCTGAGAACGACATTTCCCAGAAACCCATTGCAATGGGAAGCACGTGCACAAGATTTGGAAGAGAAAGGGGTCATTATTTTCTGGAAGCGGCTGCAGGCACATGACCAAGATAGAAGGTTTGAAGCAGTTTCCAGGTGAGCTTCCCGAAAATCACCTGCATCACTCCTGCAGACTGAGAGGTCAGAGGGAATCTCCCAGAGGTTAATTTCAGGTGTCTTTTGTGCAAACTCTTGAGAACCTCATAGTGCAAAGGCTGAGATTGTTGCTGACAGCCTTCTTCACCTTGGTTTCTGCAGCCTTCTAACCATTGGGTAAGCCTCTAATTCCCTGCATTGAAAATATTCATACTTGGAATATATTGAGAGGCTTCTGCTTTCATGCCTAATCCCTGACTGACTTGTTCAATAAATATTTGGAGAATGAATGAAAAATAATTCCATCATATTAAAAAGTCAGTAGATATTCCACTGATATTTATCATTCAAGGGGAAGGGGCTAATACTAATTGTGAGTCATGTGGCAGGCAGTTTCCTATGCATTATTTACCACCTTCCAGTAATCTTGATAGATCACTATTATTGTCTCATTTTATACATGAGGATATGGAAAAATGAGAATCAAACAGATACACCAACTCACAAAGCATTGCCTTAACGTTCTACCATGTTACCTTAGTGTACGTCAACTTAGTGTATGCTTTTGTGGATAATCACAAGAAATTTCAAGGGCCATTTGAAACCCAATATTAGCCACATTTTTCAGTTTTTCCTACCCACCAAGAGCAATAAATCCTGAGTTCCTCTCAATTATACCACTGAATGGACTACCTATAG